>NC_000003.12:171735877-171887392 GCF_000001405.40 Homo sapiens
CGCTGTTCCTCCAACATATGTGCGTGTATGCATCCACGCACACACACACCTGAAATGAAGAACTAGGTGGAGGAGACAATGAGAAAGGCCCTAATTAGCCTTCAGGGGTCCAGTCCACAAATATAAGCCGTGCACCAGGCAATTGGCAGGGGTGAGACGTATTGTATACTAACAGCACCATCTTGGCTGTTTTTGTTCTTCAGAAATGGCACGACATGCCTTCTCTCCTTCTCTTGTGAAACACATTCCAAGGTCCAGCCTTGTCTATACCACCCACCCACCCTAAGGAACCACCAGTGTTAAGGAGGGGTGGGTGGAAAAAGTGACTGCAGTAATGAGTATACAGTGTATACTTGTATAATATAATACATATGTATTATTATTACTAAATCTTTGTAATAAACCTATAATGTAAGCACTGTTATACCCTTTATTCAGAAGAGGAAACAGGAACAGAGAGGTTAAGTCACTCATTCAAGATCACAAGGCAAAGATGAATTAAACCATGCAGTCTGCCTCTAGAGTCTGTCATTTACCCCCACATGTTATTATCTTTCAATCTAAATGCTGGCAGGTGAAATAAGAAAACAAAGCTCATCTTAGAGACATTTCTGAGGGAGTTGTGCTCAGTGGTGTATCAGGGAGACATGGACCCGAGTCACAGGGAAAGCCTAAACCAGAGGCTGACACCAAAATGAGTGTAAGCTGGGAGTCAGTACATGTGCAGGTAGGCTGGGACACAGCACCAGGCAAAACCACCCAGAAAGCAATGCAGCGCATGCCACCTCCAAAAGACAAGGAGGAAGGGAAGGCAAAGCATGCCCTGACAGCTGGTTATTAATCTGTGCTTCCCCTGAGGCAGGAGGCAGTGGTGGCCTTACTCTGCCATGGCTAGATCTTAGCCTGAAGGGACAAAGGTCACCACCCTGCAGCAATTGTCCTCCCCCGGAGACTTAACAACTGCAAAATCCAGCCAGGAACAGAGAAAAGTAGCTACCCTAACAGCTTCTTCTAGTCCAATCCATTTCAAAGGGCATAACTTTGATTGTTGAAGACATTTTACTCCAAAGCCTTTTCAGCGTTCAGTGAAATATCACGTGAATGAGGACTAAAGGATGGTTTTCTAGGAACCAATCAGAGAGGCAGAGTATGGCTGCAGAATTCTCTCAACAGTATTTTGAGGTAATGGCACTGGCCGATCCAGTATCCCGGCTTTTTTTCTTAAGAGCCAGGTAGCACCAACATTTTCATGCTAAATAAACATTAGGAAAGCTAAAATTCTTGTTGACTTATACCTGCCATGCAAGGTGGAATAAATATGCATCAAGAGTCCAAATGAAACAGAAAACTGGGGAGAGAAGAAGATTAAGAGAGGCACTTTGCAATTTATTAAACTGTTAATTTGCCTTACATGCCTTTTTAAAAGAAAGAGCTTTGGCTCAAATGAAGAAAGAGGAATATAAGAATGAAGATTAAATGGGAAGGAGGCAAAAACTTGACAGGTGAAAATGACTTGGAAATGATAGATACATAAAAACAAACAAACAAAAACCTACAAACATGATCATAGCTAAGAGGGAGGAAAATGAAAGGCTATGTACTAATTCACATATATTGACAAAAGAAAAAAGGGTGAGTCCATAAACGCTCTGACCCTTGTTGTAGATGTGAAGCGTTCCACTTCCAGAACTTGTGCTTTTATTGGACAGCCGGAGAGATACGTCTGTATATTAGGCTCCTTAAATCCTTGAGTGTTATAAATAGCAGAGAAAGGGATATACACTAAAAAAAAAAGTAAATAAAGTTAATGCAATATATGATTAGCATAACTTGTCTTTTACAGGCATTCTTTTAAGAATCACGTGTTAAAACAAGTAAGCCTCTTATAAAATGATCTGAGCCCGGTGTTACATCTGCAAGGAAAATCAATCATTTGCTGGTTACTTCAAATTTGTGGTCTTCCGACCAACCGAGATAAACTCTTTTCTTCCCCGCTCAGATCATCCGTCTTTACCTTCTTGTATCTTGGGATCGCTGGGAGACACGTCGTAGTCTACCTCCTCTCCCTCAAAGTGGAGTTCCCGCGTGTCCAGATTTTCTATGATATTACTCATGTCAGCAGCAATTTTCTGCAGTGCAGAGGTATTTACCCGTGGCTCGTTTTTCAGTGACATGTTAACTTTGGACAGAGTAAAAGCAAAGGGGCTAGGAAAGAAGAAAACGGTTACAAAGACTTAGCATTTTGATAACATAAAATGCTATTCCACAATTTGAATCCAGACTTAGATACAGCATATGGAAACAATTCAGCCTGCTCTGTGTGAGCCTCAGTTATCCAAAACAACCTTTTAGTTTACGTTCCTGTTTAACATTTAAAGGATTCCTAACTTGTAAATTAAAACAGAGTGCTTAATTGAAAACAAGAGAAAAAAAAAAGAAAAAAAAAAGCAACACCACATTGAATGCCAACATTTCTCTCATCCAACTTTATTAACTTGGATAAGTAATTCAAGGGAGATTGGTTTGGGAAAGCTTATTCAGAGAAAGAAATAGATTATTTGCTGTAATAAATACAGCTGAAGAAAGAATATCATGAAAAATAAGCAACTCTAAATATTTCCTAAAGAAAATTTAGAGTATTTCACATATTGAAATATATAGATTTAGAAATATTTTTATGATAGCATAATATTTCTACATTTTCTCTGTAGGTGATATCCCAAGCAAAGTGTATATTACCTCTTCAAGAAAGGAGATTTTGGCCATGACTTTACGTGAGGTATAATGACGTATGTGTCTTGAAAGGAAATTGATTAATATACCTATTCCGAAAGACATCTGAGGTGCTAGAATTATACTTCCCTCCTTTCTTTTTCTTTAAAGAAAACCAGTTCTATTTCATTCTGACATTTAATAACACAAGTCGTTGCACATCAGTACCCAGGGCAGAAGAGTTCACATGGATATTATTTTTCATGTAAAATATTGAGATTCAAGCTTTGCACACTGTCATCAGAGTTGGATGAAACATCTGTTTTGCCTGATGTAGAAATAATCTGTTAAAACCAGGCCCTAGAATGGAAGGACGCTCATACCAGTAACTCTTTGGCACATGTTCCTTTCTTACTGCAAATCACAAACACTGAGCATCCACCACATGTGAGATGAGATGAATGAAAACGTGAAGGTGAATAAGGCAGGCCCCTGTGATTAAGGAGCACCTGATATGGGTGAGGAAAATGAGGCATCTAACCCAAAGTTCACCCCTGGCCTCCTCCAAGGTCTTAGGCTTCTTGAGAATGAAATTTGCCCAGGGGAAGACACTTAGCTGGGTCTCTCCTGCAGGTGCTATCAAAAAGCTAAGTGGCTATATGGGAAATGCTAAGAAAGTCTCAGGCAAACTTACACAGCCCTTATTATAACTCAATGAGTCTCGAAAACCTATACTTTTATGTCTGGGAGAAAGAGACTGTGTTTGGAAATTCAAAAATGGGAGCGAAGGAGGGAGGTTCTGGTTTGGCCAGACATATAAAATTCATATATCTAAGTTCCCTGGAACTATGTAATCAATCATGTTTCTTTCTCTATGTTGCCTGTAAGAAAGCTTGGAGCCAAATTTGTGGCCTACTATATAGCCAAGTATAGGACTATCTCTTCCCTTCAACTTTCCCTCCCACTTCTAATTTATATCATAATAGTTAATAGTTACTAATGTTTAGAATGCACCTCGCTGGTGATAATTGTTTACATACATTGTCTCATTTGTCATTAATAATAAATCTGTGAGGGCTTGTTTTTTCTATTTTGAGCATGACAGGAGTTTGCCATCCCCTCTTTATAGATAAGGAAACTGAGGCAAAGAAAGACTAAGTAACTTGACCAATATTTTAAACAATCTGTCAAGGTCACACAGCTGGTAAGTGGTGAAGAAGGGACTGGAATTCAGGTTTCTCTAACCCAAAAGTTGATATTCTCAACCACGACCTTTATCTTGCTCTCTATTCTTTGTAGATATGTAAGTGCTTTGGAATAGATGGAACAGTTAATATAAATAAGTACCCTGGGGCAAGTCCATGTAAGAGCAAACCCTAACAGGAAGAATTGGAAATAATCTCCTGCAACTCGGTTACCACAGGATGAAGCCATTTAAATTCCCAGGGTCTTTGTTTCCTCTCTATAAATTGAGGAGGTTGAGCCATTTCATCTCTAGAGTTCTTTTAACACGAAAACCCTAACTGTAGATAAGAGATGCCATAAAAGTATTCAGCCTCCCTTATAATTTAATTACTTTAACCCTTTTCCTATCCCAAGAGATTAATCAGAGTAGTTTTGCATTTGGGTAAGAGAAGCAGGTAGCAGAATGTTTTCTAACCTGGATAACTTAATTAAGATCTATTCAGCCTCCATTGAGGAGCCATTGCCCTTGGTCAAAATCAAAATATGTATGTCCTTTCCTCTTCATTCAACAAACACTTAACAATGTGTCAGATTTTACTTTATTTAAAATACAAGGTAATGAAAAATTTAGAGGAAAAGAGACAAGGAAAAACAGATAAGAAATTACATCATATCATTGCAGCTTGTTAATTTTTAAAGACTTCAGATATTTTTTATTGATTAAACAGACTTATTAACTTTGCCAACTTTCTTAACATAGTGAAGAAAAACAAAGGTTACTCCAAATAACCTTCCTTTTGAACTATGTGCTGATCTTAAAAATGCCTGTTAATTTTAAGAAATACAAAGACTACAGTAATCTACACAGTGTTACAGAGCCAATGCACCAAGCTGAAATAAATATCTGACTTCAGATAGAGAAAAAAGAAGCATATTCACTTATGAAAAACTTGAAGAGTGAGACATGAAACAAAGAAAACATCTTATCATTTATCAAGTGTTTATTACATGCTAAACACAATTTTAGCACAGTTATGTTATTTAATACTCACAATGACCCTACCTGGTAGGTATGATTATTCTGAGAGATTGAGTTAAACAATCGTCCAAGGTCACTCAACTTGTGTCAGTGTTGAGTTTATAAAGCAGATTTTGTCTGGCTCTAAAATCTTATGGAGTTGGTTACAGAGGCCCATAATTACTTTTATTTTATGGGCTTGAATGTCTATAAATCTAAATTCATCTTTTATATGAAGTTTAAGTCCTGTGACAAGACATGTCCTCTACTTTAGTCACCATACCTTGGAAGGGATCATACTAATCCCACAGTCACCTCAATTATGAAAACAACATATCTCAACAGCTTCCTGAGTTTCTTCTTAGCCTTTTACTTTTATGGTTTATAATATTTTATAAGATCATGTGGAACTTCAATGGACCCAATGCATTTGCAGACTTGTTCATGCTTTTGTAAAGACTTTACTATTTAATAATAGACAATGAAAGAAGTGATTTGTCTATCTCTACCTTTACTTATGTCCATGGGCATTGTGTGCTGACTTTTCATCCAACCATTGTATTGTTGGTTTCATTCTTGAATATCAAGCTGCAAAACTATCTACGCTCCTATGTTGTCAAATCTTCATTTATCAGTCAATGTTTTCTTTCATCTAAAATAATCTATAATAGGGGGTGAGCAGCTGCCACAGGCACAGCCTATATTAGCCAGCAATGGGATAAGGGCTTCAGTGTTTACACTTGAGATAATGCAATTGATTTTGTTACCTCCTTATAAAATTATACTGCAAGATCATTATCTCTTTCAGTACCAAGAAGAGATGGTGCCCATGGAGAGATAAGAGCAGCTGTGTTTTATTTCTGTTTGCATTTGTATCTGGAAAGCAAATAAGGGTTTTTTTATTCTCGTTTTGAATTATAGAACTGAAAATCTTTGCAGGGAAGATTTAATGACCTCCAGTTATTCAGTGATGAAATCAGATAATTTTCTATTCTTGATTTTCAACAAGATTGGGAAGTAGAACATCAAAGAGAAGCAGATACTTTCCTTTTCAGATAACAAATAGATAAACATTGCCTTAGCCAAAATACAATAATAATATCAACTATAATTATTGATATTAACATAAATATGAACATTAGCCAGTATTTGCTAAATATGTACTACATGCCAGGTTTTGTACAAAGTGATTAATATCATGATCTCATTTAATCTTCACAATAACTTTAGGAGCTGGGTCCCATTGTTACTAGCATTTTTAATGAGTAGCTTAGAGAAGGTAGAAACTTGGCAGGGCCACACAGCTGGGAAGTGATGAAGCTGGTGATCAATTTGATCTGACCTCAAAGCCCAGCTACTTGCCAATCCAGAGGTGGGACTGGGGTGGGAGGAAAGATGGGCACTGGGAGACTTTTACAATTTTCTTCATATACTCTTAAAACTTTTTTTTAAAGTCAGGGTCTTGCTCTCTTGCCCAGGCTGCAGTACAGTGGTATGATCATAGCTCAATGCCGCCTTGAACTCCTGAGCTCAAGTGACCTGCCTGCCTCAGCCTCCAGAGTAACTAAGACTGTAGGCATGTGCCACTACGCATGGCTAAAAAGTAAAACAATTTTTAAAATAAAAACAACCCACATTCACTCTATGAACATAGTTACGATTTACTTATTGCTCCCTTTCTAACATAATATGCAAAAATTCATTTTTTTCTAGCTGCTATTGTACTTAACTGAGATAAATAAATGCAATGGATTCCTAAGCCAAAAATTATATCATAATGTATGAACGTAAAAAAAAATTATGATTAGATAGTTTAAACCCAAACTGAGTTATGGGGATATCTTGTTTTCCCATTTTTTCATGATGATGAAATAAATTAAAGGATCCATAATATATAACCTATGAAAACACATCATACAGCAACTCTATATCTGGAACTGACTTGATGCTCTCTGAGATATAAAAATTATAAATGTGGATTCAAGTACTAAACTCAATCTTTAGTAATATAATACGACTTGGATAAATATTTTTTGAGTTTAGCTGACTTTGAATAAAGTAAATGATATTAACATATTTTACATTCCAGACTATATATTTTGAGAAAATACATTTTAAATATCCTCTGATGTTTACTTGGATCTTTGACTTTTTTTTTAAAAGGAACATTGCTTCTGCAAATATTAATGGAAGGTGATTATGTACCTTGGACAGAAAATGAGATGTCAATGGTATAAGGGAAAGATCAAATGACCTAGAATTGTTCTATCCTTACTATGAGTGTAACCTGGGCAACTACCAGCCCCAGGGTTGCAGTGTCCCTCTGTGAAATGTTCCACTCATGCTTCCTCCCTTGGGAAGCTGTGAGGAGCAAATGTGATCATGGATACTCATCTACAGGCAAAAATCATCTTGGTTGCTAGTGTCATCTTTAATTCTATTAAAAGCTGACCCCTGAAAAAATAATCTTAGGAGAGTTTATCCTGCTTTTCATCTCTTATTTAGCTCCCAAAACTAACATACCATCTTGCAACTGTCTTTCTGGCTGGGCTACTCTAAGAATGGGTCTCTGTCATTCAACCAGTCCTGAAATTTCTGGACTGTACTACACTAAGTATAAGAGAAACCAGTAAGCCTTCCTCTGCAAAAACAATCATGGAAGGCATTAGCCAGTCAGACCCAGCTAATGCTTCCTTTTCCCTGCATGTCTTCCTGGCCTCATCCAACCTGCTCTCCCTGGCTGGTTATGCAATCCTTCCTTGGCATCCCCATAGCGCTCTCCACTTTTCTCACAACAGTGGCTCCTGCTCCCTTTGAGGTCCGGCATCCTTTGCAACTTTGATGAAATCTATGAACCCACAACCCCAGAAAAAAATGAGCACGGGCTCACACACAGCATTTTGCATATATTTTCATAGGTTCATGGTTGCACTCTCAAGACCTTTAAGTGAAGAAGCACGTCCACTGAGCCGCAATCATGTGCTGATGCACTGACACATCTGTCTTCCCACTAGACAGGGACACTCTTTGGGGAGGAGGGTTAGAGTCATGGGCATTCACCACAGACACCCAGCCGAGCACCCACTCAATACGTTTGTTGATTAAGTGACATAATCAATGAGCTGTCCATAGAGAAAGCTGTCAGCTCCAGGTTATTCAGTAAATGACACAAAGAGATATTATTTTCCCTCGCATACCACAGACACACTCAGATGTAGAAGCCTTCTGGTTGAAAAGCCCCTGAGAGGCGTGTAACATGTTAGAAACAGATTGGCTGCCAACGCAATCACAGCTAACACAGCAAACTGCTAGTGAAGCTTCCTGTGTGCCAGGCTTTTGCTGAGGGCTTTTCATGCATCATGTCAAATGATCCTCACAGCAACTTCATGAGGAGTACTGTCATCATTCCCACTTTGCAGACAGTCTGACAGAGGTGAAGAGTCAGAAAGTCAGTAAGTCAGCTCTCAGCCTGGCTCTGGCTGACCCAAAAGCCATGCACCTGCTCCTCTTCTGCCTTCCACCTGTGCCCGTGCCAAGAAAAGGAGATTCCAAGACATGGAATCACCCAGCCGCCTTTCCTGCCCATAACCTGTGAGTCCAGCTTGCTATTATGTCTATGGTTCTAAGAGTCAGAAGTCTGACTCCCAAACACAGCCCTTCCACTGAGCTCCACATCTAGTCTGATCTCAGGGAGCCCAGAGCCCAGCAATCTTCCACTTACTTATCCTTCTCTCCTGGTTTTATATCACACCCTCCACGTGGCCTAATGCTGACGCTGCTTTTATCCCTGAGATATACAGACTGGTGCTAAATACTTTGGACTCACTGTGCCCACAGAATAGAAGTTGAACTCACGTTCTCTTTTTTTCCCCTAGCTAAAAACAAAGAAACAAACAAAAACACATCTATAATGACATAAAGCAAAATGGTTACATAGCTCTTAAAATTTCCACAATTTCTGCCATTAGCTAATCTCAACTAGTAAGTATGTCATTAGGATACTTCTGATAATGATCTATCCCAGCCATTTTTAATAATAACCCAAGAAAACCAAGGCAGCTTTATGCCATGGAGGCAATAAGAAATCCCATAAGACATCATGGTTTCCAGAAAGGACAACCTTGTAGACAGCTGTTTCACTATCCAATACTGAATTAGGATATAACTCACACGTTTTGGGGCATTAAAAGCATTTCTTGATTCTCATGACTTTTCCTAAATTCTTTGACCTCTTTGGACGACCTTTTAAAAACATCCTCGGCATTTGTTCTCTGGCATGAGCTTTCTAATTTCCTTTAATATATCCTAGAGTTAAATATTTCCCTCTTTGCAGTGGTGTCAGCTTCTAGCTCATCTCAGTCATATCTTTGAATTCAAACTTTGCTTCCAGAGTCAAATACAAATGTTAAAGGAAATTGACATCTATTTCAAATGTTGATGGTTAAGAAAATATGATCTGTCATTTCCTGAGTGCCTGTACTGAAAGGCACGTTACAGGTATTACTTCCAATCCTCACAACAATCTCACTGGGGCCATGGGAGCTTACTGAGGCTGCACAGTTGTGAGTGGTGGGACTGGTCCCTGTATGCAGGCCTCCAGATGGGCTGGGTCCATCTGCATCCCTGGCCTCTGCTCAGTAAAGATCCCCAGTCACAACTGCTCTCACTTCTTCTCCTAATGCCACCAACAATCTCAGCCTCCTTCTGGGCAAGAGCAGGGCTTTGGCACAGCCTCCATGGCATGCAGCACAGCACGTGGGCTCCACTGACCTCCAACCAGACCCTCAGAGGCACTGGCACATCCAGATGTTTTTGGATTCAGTTGAAGTGCTGCACCAGGGACGTGTTCTCTTGCTTCCTCAGGAGTTGTACATCAGGGGGGTAAGAGGAGTACAGGGAAGCAAGTCACACAGCGTGTGATACTGAGAGGTGACAACGTGCTAGCAGTCCTCACTCGCTCTTGGCACCTCCTCAGGCCATGGCGTCCACGCTGGCTGCGCTTGAGGAGCCCTTCAGCCCACCGCTGCACTGTGGGAGCCCCTCTCTGGGCTGGCGGAGGCCAGAGCCAACTCCTTCTGCTTGCAGGGAGGTGTGGAGGGAGAGACGCCAGTGGGAACCAGGCTGCCTGCTGCACTCACAGGCCAGCGCGAGTTCTGGGTGGGCGTGGGCTCGGCAAGTCCCGCACTCAGAGCGGCTGGCGCCACCGGCCCCGGGCAGTGAGGGGCTTAGCACCGGGCAAGCAGTTGCGGAGGGTACGCCGGGTCCCCCAGCACTGCCGGCCCGCCCCACTGCGCTTGAATTCTCACTGGGCCTCAGCCGCCTCCCCGCGGGGCAGAGCTTGGGACCTGCAGCCTGCCATGCCCGAGCCCCTCCCCTCCGCGGGCTCCCGCACAGCCGGAGCCTCCACGGGCACCACCCCCTGCTCCACAGCACCTGGTACCATTGACTGCCCAAGAGCTGAGGAGTGCAGGCTCGCAGCGCGGGACTGGCGGGCAGCTCAGCCTGCAGCCTGGGCACGGGATCCACTAGGCAAAGCCAGCTGGGCTCCTAAGTTGGGTGGTGACTTGGAGAACATTTATGTCTAGCTGGAGGATCCTATATGCACCAATCAGCACTCTGTGTCTAGCTAAAGGTTTGTAAACGCACCAATCAGTGCTCTGTGTCCAGCTAATCTGGTGGGGACTTGGAGAACTTTTATGTCCAGCTGGAGGATTGTAAATACAACAATCAGCACTCTGTGTCTAGCTCAAGGTCTGTAAACACACCAATCAGCACCCTGTGTCTAGCTCAAGGTTTGTAAATACACCAGTCAGTGCTCTGTGTCTAGCTAATCTAGTGGGGACTTGGAGAACCTTTATGTCTAGCTAAAGGATTGAAAATACACCAATCAGCACTCTGTGTCTAGCTCAAGGTTTGTAAATGCACCAATCAGCACCCTGTCAAAATGGACCAATCAGTTCTCTGTAAAATGGACCAATCAGCTCTCTGTAAAATGGACGAATCAGCAGAATGTGGGTGGGCCCAGATAAGGCAATAAAAGCAGGCTGCCCAAGACAGCACTGGCAACCAGCTGGGGCCCCCTTCAATACGGTGGAAGGTTTGTTCTTTTGCTCTTTGCAATAAATCTTGCTGCTGCTGTTTAGGCTTTGGGTCTGCACTGCTTTTATTAGCTGTAACACTCATGGCAAAGGTCTGCAGTTTTACTTCTCAGGCCAGCAAGACCACGAACCCACCCGGAGAAATGAACAACTCCAGACGCGCCACTTTAAGAGCTGTGGCACTCAAGGAGCAGGTCTGCAGCTTCACTCCTGAGGCCAGCGAGACCACGAACCCACCAGAAGGAAGAAACTCCAAGCACATCAGAAGGAACAAACTCCGGACACACCATCTTTAAGAACTGTAACACTTACCACAAGGGTCTGCGGCTTCATTCGTGAAGTCAGTGCAGACCAAGAACCCACCAATTTCAGACACAATACTAGGGCAGGTTAAGTTGCTGGCAGATGCATGCCTCTCCCCTCTCCTTTTGGCCTTGGCTGTGCTGAGCACACTGATACAAAACAGTCGATCTGGATGATGTTCTATGTGATGGAGCAACTGGCTGCTTTTTGTGGGAAGCTATGGCCAGCCAGGAAATGACTGCTTTGCCTTCTTCCCTGCCTCTCTTCTCTTCCTCTCTTTTTTTTTTTTTTCTCCTCTAGAATTATAACTACTCCCATTCAACCCTACTATGCAACCTTAGAGGCTCTATACAGGAAACTTGAGCTAGGATAGTGTTAGAACCAGGATTCCAAAGCCCATGTTTTGTTCATTGTTTTTTTCTGAACCATCCTGGCTCCTGCAGAAATTCATTTATGCTGAATTTAACAGTAATTTTTAAAAAGCAGACTTGCATCATGTTTACTATGTACCAGGCAGTGATCCAGGTGGTTTGCATGCATTAACTCAATCTGTCCTTACAACAGACCTATGAAGTAACTGCTGTTCTTAGCCCCTTTTAAGCAAGGAAACTGAAGGCACAGACAGGTAAGTGACTGTAAGGGTCACCCAACAATCTGATCTAATTTGCTATTATTTCTGCCTTGATTAACTTGGGCAAAGTAACTTTAGGTGGTGCTCAACTTCCTCACCTAAAAACTGAAAATTAAAATATCTGTTTTACATGAATATGAAGTTGTCTGTGTTTAGGACTTTACAATAGATAGATTAAAATTTTAAAAACTCCTCTCTCAACATTACTAAATGTTAGAAAAACAACATATTCTAAGTGACATCACCCAGAAGACAAAAACTAGCCCAAATGCCAAGGGCATTTAGATGAGGATTCCGAGTCAACGTCTAAGAAGATTTATTCCTGCCCCTGTAAATGACAAGGCACATTATAAAGATTTGTATTTGAAGAGAAAATATGGGAGGATTACTCCTGACTTCAAAGCCTGTTAATAAGTTTATTACGTGTAAGTCAGACTTTGTACAACCGCTGGATTGACTTAAGTCAAAGGGAAAATTCTTCTTTATAAAAGAAAGGTAGTTAATATTGCTAAAAACTGTGGTCAGACTTCTAAAATTAACATCCTTGGATGTTAAATGAATACTCAGTTTCTTCATGGCCAAGAACGGAATATTCATGCATTCCTTTCTTTCACTTCCCTTCAAAGCAACAGGGAAGCAACCTCTGTTGGTGTGAGTTTTGGCAGTACAGAGAGTGTTTTCAATGATAACCCATGAATTTCACGTATGAGAAGAATGGATCTGGCAAACTCACATTGTAATCTCCTCCAAACACTCTCCAGTGCTGATTAGCTTTTGAATTCTGTCACAACTGCTAGTAGACATAGCACAATTTCAATTTTTTGGCCATCTATGTAATTACTAAAAATGTTTGTTGAGGCAGTACAGTACCATGGTAGATATGTGATTTTGAGTGAAGTAACTTGAAATATGACTCTCCTTATGGTGAAACAAGTTATTTCTGTCTTTCTGTGTCTCAGATTCCTAATGTGTAAAATGGAAGTAATATTGCGTGGCTTAGAGCTTGGGCTATACTAGATGCTAAAATAATGTTAGTTGTTCCTATGCCCCTAGTTATTCTAAGAGCTATCAGTAAGACCCCTGCCCAAAGTCCATATATTCCTACCTGAATCATGTCCCCCCTAAGCACAGGAACTAGCAGCAACAGTTGGATTTGGGAATGGTCTGATGTTGTCCACTATAGAAAACACTGCTACAAACTTCTGGAAACAAAATGAATCAAGCTAATACATATGCTCCATTTCTACTGAAAACACAGAATTGTTAGGTAAATTGTAATTGTTTTAAGAAAAGATTTATTCAAGGTTAACAGCAGTGGCAGCAGCAACAAAAACAATAATGAAGAAAAAACCTACAGTGTCTAAGAATGAAGAAACTAAAGTCTGATGGGCACACTGGAACTGAAGCTGTAGGGCCCAAAGGGTTCTGGATCTCAGATAAGCATCTGAGATTACAGTTCTGTTGCCTCACATAAATTTTAGGAGATAAGATCTCAGAATCATGGGAGGCAGCAGCCTGGAAGTGACACTCTTACAAAAAAACCCAGAGCTTCAGCGAGCTACACTGCCTATTTAAAAGGGACTAAATAACCACACCCAGCATCCCTGGGAAGAAACTACATGGAACTGTGGTTAACTACAAAATGAAAAACTGTACATAAAAATTATCCAAGATCACAATGTCTAGCTTTCAGTAATTGAGGTAGTGCTTTTATTAGATTTACCATCCCACAGATAATTACATATTCTGGAATATATATATGAAACTGCAAGGAAACCTACATTTGGAAGAAAGAAACAGCATTGTTTTTGTATAAGGGCTGGTCCCAGACCATGTCAACTTGAGTGACTAAAACTCGGATAGAAAGTCCATAGATTTCCAGCTTGAAGAAACAAAGAACAAACTTCACAGCAATCACAGCAGCTGAAAAGTGAGGCCAGAAATCCTAGAAAGGAGAGAGCCACAGAGAGGGAGACAGCCCCAAATTTTGCATAGGCTGACGCTTGAACTACATAGGCATGGGATACATTCCAATGCAACTCAGCTAGTACTAAAATGACTTTAACAGATATTTCTGCTACTGCCCACCACAGGACAGATGGGGTTTGGTGTTTGAGTCCAAGCAAGTTAAATGACTGGAAAACAAAACTAAACTCAACAAAAAATCCCAACTCTGGAAAGAAGTATAAAGGAATTCAGAGTCTCTACAACATGTCAGTCACAATGTCACCTAAAACTACTACACATAGAAGAAACGGAAAGATGTGCTCCATTGTGAAGAGTAGAGACCAATCCTGACATGTTGAAATTAGCTGAGAAGGATTATTTAAAGTGACTATTATAATAATGCTCAAGGATGTAAAGGAAAATATGGTTTTAGTGAACGAATAAGTAGAAAATCTCACCAGAGAAAAGAAAAAATTTGCAGGATGGGCTTAACAGCAGAATAGCAATGACAGAAGAAAGGGTCAATAAACCTGAAGACAACAATAGAAATTATCCAATCTGAAGGACAGACAGAGGGGAAAAAAGATTTTTAAAGAAATGAACAGAGCCTTAGTATTGTATGTGATAATACTTTAAAAATCTAACAAGCATATAATTTGAATCCCAGAAAGATAGGGTAAAGAGAAAATGGGGCAGAAAAAAAAATGTGTAAAGAAATAATGATAAAAAATTCATTAAATTTGGTGAAAGAAATAAATTTACAGGTTGAAGAAGTTCAGCGGATCCCAAACAGGAATAAATGCAAAGAAAATTACACCGAGGTACATTAAAGTCAAGCTGCTGTCATGTAAAGAAAAAAGACAATTTTGAAAGCAGCCAGAGAAAAATAGCTTGTGTTCAGGAGAACCACACTAATGACGATAAACTTCTCATTAGAAATAAATGGAGGCTATAAGATTGAAACAACATCCTAAAGCTTAATTAATGTGGTTGAATTAGTAAACAAAGGTTGCTTTTCCTCAAAGGAAATCTACTGATTCAAATTCCTAAGAATTTCTTACAGAACCTGACAATATGATCCTGGAATCTGTAACAGAGAAATTATAATAGGTAGATAAGACTTGCCCTATCAGGTAGATCAATAATTATTACGAACCTGAAAGAAATAAAATTTTACATTATTGGCACAGAAATAGATGAACTGAACCAAGTAGGGACCCCCCCCAAAACAAACCTATTCAAATATGAGTTCTTGGCATATGACAAAAGTGAAATGAAAAAAATAATGGAGAAAAATAAACTGTTTAATAAACAATGCTGAGACTATTGGCAATTCAGAGAAATATAAAATAAAATTAGTTCTCTACCTCAAAGCTCCAATAAGAATAGTTTCCATATTATAGTCCCAAATATGAACAACAAATATTTTTAGGATTAAAGAGCTAAACATGAACTACAAACATGTAAACATTTGAAATATAGAAGAATGTTCTTAAGACCTTAGAGTCAGAAAGGAATAAAAAGCACAAACCATAAAGGAAAAGCTATAAATTCAACTACTCTAAAGTTTAAAACGTTCATTGAACAAATGGGAAAATTACACACACACACACAAAATTTGTAAGAACACCAGATTGGGAGAAGACATAAGTAGAATGTATAAAGAACTCCTATAAAAACATAAGAAAAATGTAAAAAATACAAAGAACAAGGGCCAGGGGCATATACAGGTAACCCATAGGAGATCAATTCTAAATTGTCAATAAAACTTTAAACATGCTCAACCTTTCCAGTAATCAGGGAAGTCGTATTGAAACAATGAGATACTATTTTACATTCATTGGATCGGAAAATTTTTCCAAGTATAAAATTACAATGTATTGGTGAGGAAATGGAACTCTCATGCACTGCTGTGAATTAAAATAACCTTTTAGAAAGTAATTTCATGGCCAAGCGCGGTGGCTCACGCCTGTAATCCCAGCACTTTGGAAAGCCAAGACAGGCGGATCACGAGGTCAGGAGATCGAGACCATCCTGGCTAACACGGTGAAACCCCATCTCTACTAAAACTACAAAAAATTAGCCGGGCATGGTGATGGGCGCCTGTAGTGCTAGCTACTCTTTGGGAAGCTGGGGCAGGAGAATGGTATGAACCTGGGAGGTGGAGCTTGCAGTGAGCCGAGATCGCGCCACTGTACTCCAGCCTGGGCGACAGAGCGAGACTCCGTCTCAAAAAAAAAAAAAAAGAAAGAAAGAAAATTAGACAACTGAAAATATCCATCTATCAGAGAATAGGTAAATGAATGTTTTAAATGGAATGCTATACAGCAGAGAAAATAAGTGCATTAGAACTACATGTATCAACATGAATAAATGTCAATACAAAGTTTGGTGGGAAAAATCCAGCTTACAGTTTTTGTTTAGGATTTAAAAACATAGAACAATCCTGTTAGGTTGTCTATGGATAAATATATATGGAAGTATGACATAAAAACTAATTGAGGAAATGATACACAATAACTTTAGAAGAGTGGTAACCTTTAGCAAGAGAGGTGGGAGGAGAACGCAGTTAGCAAGGAGTCCAAAAGGGACTCAGTGAATTTTTATTTCTGTGGTCTCTATCATACAAATCTGACATTTTTTCTGGCTAAACCGAAGTTATCTATTTGCAGCTCTTTCCCTCTTGCTGAGCTGTAAGCTCTTTGAGAACTCAGAATGACAATAAATGAAACTTGTGGCCAGACTTCCCAGTTACATCTCCATGGCAAACATTAATCTGTGATCACAGCCTACTTTCTCTGAGCCTGCACAGACCTCCTAGTTCTTCTTACCCCACACTTCAGAGGCTTTAATATCTTGCCATCTCTGAAAGAAATCAAATCTGATCTCTCTCATATCTTTAGTATTTGTTGAGAAGAAATGAATTAAATGAGGGAAATGAATTACATAACCAGTGGGCAGTATTTTACTATATGTGTGTATGTGTCTTAGAAAGAATAGAAATTAATGCAACTCAATTCAATTCAAAACCTGTATGGTGCACATATTTGGTGGCAGACACTGAGTAAGAACTGAGCATACAACTTTTAGACTGAAGAAACCAATGAATACAAAACCTGGTCTGTAATGCCTGGCACACATGATGATCTAGGCATTCATTTGGTCCAACCTCTTCAATGCACTGAGAAGACAGAGGCTCAGAAGCATACAGACAAAGGATTGATGAGACTAGAACTCACACCTCTGTTGCACTCTGCTTGCCCATACAAGCCTGTTTCAGGGGTGGATTATTTCTTTATAATGCAGCTTTGAACCATGTCTGAAATGTGTAAGAAAGACAACCAGATGGGCTGGATAAACTGCTTTTGTCTGAGCTGCAGCCAGACTCTGCTCAGTGGGTGTGGACAGGCTGCCAGCCTCACTGAGAAAGAACTAGTTTGGTCTTTGTTCAACCGCTGCTCCTATGCATAGTACTAAGGAACAGAGATATTCTCAGGACACCTGAATCCTGTGACGACATTCCCAAGGGTCAGAAGCACATGGGTTGCATCAATACTAACAAGAAATGGCAAGTTAAAAGGCAGGCTGCCAAACTTTGACGAACTGGAAAGAGAGTCGGTGTGCACCAGCCAGACTGATAAGCCACCTTGCTTTCCAGTGCAGCCGCTTTGCAGGGCTTCTTAAGCAGCTTCTCAGGATGACAGTAGTTCACTCAATGGATATTTATTGAACACCTTCTATGTGCTGAGCACCATGCTAGGCACTGAGAATATAAAATAACCTCATGCATTTCACTTTACCATGACAAGGGAGGCTTTAAGGGCAGAATCTCTCAATGTCCCTCACCTTATTTGTGATTTTGACTCCTTTCCCACCAAAACATTGGAAGAAGACCCCTCCTCTGCCTCTCCTGTCTCCCACCTTTGCTTGTTTCCAACCGTCCTCTCATTATTTCATCAGTCAACTCCCTCATCAACTTCTCCTGATCCTGTGACTTTCCCCTATTACCACTTAAAACATTCTCAAGTATCTCAATTACACATATGTTCCCTTCTACCGCTTCTCTCTCCCTGTGATTCATAGTTGAGGTTTTTGTATTACGTTTCCCTGCTCAGCTGGACTGAACCAAACATGCTCCATGCTCTCCAAACTCAGCCTTTCAATAGGCTGCTCCGTCTGCAGCTTTGCGTTCCTCCAACCCCATCTTTGCCTGATTGATTCCTATCATCCATTGGGACTCATATCAGGTGTCACCTCTTCCAGAAAGCCTCCCCTGACAGCCCAGGCTGGTTTAGGTGCCTTTTCTCTCAGTGTTTCTATGGCATCCAAGTGAGTTCATTGAGTACACTCCTTTCCACTTGGTCTCTGACTCCTCTGGAAGACTGAGTTTTCTGAAGGGAGAGGCTGTCTCTAAATCCTGAGTCACTGGTGTCTATTGGGTTCTCAGTCACTGTTTCTGAATGAATCAAATGGGAATGAATGAATATGAATAAGACTTAGAACTGCTCACAGTTTGGGCAGCACAAGGAACATGTGTGTAATGCTTTCTGGGTTACAAAGCATTCTGTACACATATCTCTTAATTTTCCTAATAATCCTACAGGGGAAACTATTATTTTTAACCTTCTTTTCATTGAAGAAGTAATAACTCAAAGTGATTAAGGTCATACTGTGAAACTGTTGGTCTGAGACTCAGTCCTGACCCCTCAACTTCATGTTCCCTGCTTTTTCCATCTCCTGTAAGTTACTGCCTTCATATTCAGATGTATACAATTCTCCATAAACTATCCTCATCAAAATCTCATATCTGGAAACCAGTCTTCTCACCTTGTGTCTAACCAAACTACTTATTAGAATTGAAGATAAGTCAATTCTGGCTAATTTTAACAAAAGAAGTAAAGCTAGAAAAGGAAATAATACAACCAGAACAATAGAGATAACACTTCCATTTTTCTCCAGTGTGATGGATGAACATAAATATTAGTGATATTACATCCTTCTTCCAAGTGGCAAAACATCTCAAATGTAGGGCTTATGACAAAATGACCAGAGATTTGCCCTGTGACTCGCTCCTTATTAAAACCAGGAAATCTCCATCCTATCTGGTGAGACAGCTGTGCAGGCAACTTTTATCCAAGGTCACCCTTGAGACTCAGCTACTACTATATCTCCAACAAGGTGTTAACTCGCCACCAGCTCCTTCTAGACCTCACACCCTGTTCATCCAACTGAGAGCATGCAGTCCATCTCTGACTCTTCATTTGCCCAAAAATCTCTGCTTGTATGTCCTTCTTTTGCAGTCATCTGGAGAAATTCAATCCTGGGCCACACGAACTATCTGCCTTCTTGGCACTTACCCCAAGGCTTCTAAACAGGGGCTGCAGAAACAGCACTCAACTACATAGACTGGTATTTATGGGGCTTTCCAGCTATGTCTCTCACCCCCTTTTCAAAGTCAACTTCCTAAGAAAGTTGTCTACTTCCTCCTTCTAGTTCATCCCTCCTCCTTCTTTAACTTGCTGCCACTGGCCTCCATTTGTACACTCCACCAAACAGCTCTCTCCAAAGTTCATAACCACCTGCATATTCCAGAATACGAAGGACACTTCCCCATTCTTATCTCACTTAATCTTTCTGTTGCACAACCCTTGACTGCATCCTTCTTGAGGGTCTCTTTCCTCAGCTTACATGTTCTCACACTCCTCTAGTTTTCCTCCTCCCTCTCTGCCAACTGAGATGAAGTCTTCTTTGATGCTGTTCTTCTTGTGCTCAAAATTTACATGCTAATATTATTCAGGGTCCCAGGATTATTCTTTCTCACTCTTCTCAGGGTGATCTCATCCACTCTAATGGTTAAAATACATGCTGATGTTTCCTTTACTCAGGGATACCACTAGTGAATACATTCCTTTCCTCTTGGCTTCTGTCTCCCCTAAAAGACTGGGAGCTCCCTGAAGAGAGAGGCCATCTCTGTATTGCCCATCACTAGCATCTACTGGGCTCTCAGTAACTGTTTCCAACTGCGATCCTTGTCCTGATCTTCAGACCTATCTATCCAGCTGCCTAGGAACTTCCCCACTGGGTGATCCCATAGAGCATCTCAATATGCTCAAAACAGAATTCATCATCTTCTAACCACAAAACACTCCCTCTTCCTATGTTTTCTTCTTGAAGAAAATTGGAAACATCATCTACCCAGCTGCATAAACCAGAATCCTGGAACTCATCCTTAGCAATTCTCTTTCCTAACTCTCTATATCCAATCAATTAATAAATCCAGCCAAATTCTAAATATCTCTCCCATCTGACCACTGTATTTTAACTCCATAACCATGATATGTTTGAAGAAATGAAAAAGGTGCAGTGTACCTGGACATAGAGTACAAGGCAGGTGATGTTAAGGCATTTAGACTTTACCTTTCCACCCCCTTCTGCCAGAGTGGTCTTGATGCTGTGGTCCTAGAGCTAAAAAGTCTTCAGTAAAAATAAGTTTGGGCTGCCCCAAATATGATTTTGTAGGATAAGTAACATCACTTTTACTTGGTTATTTTTAATTACCCAGCTAAACTATGGTATTCTATCACAAATTTATATTCTGCTAAACAGAAAACCAGCTCTCTATAAAGTTGCTACAGGGAACAATGATTTCCAGATGAGTTTCAGCTGTGTAAAGTAATGCCTTAATGGGACCACCAGAATTCTGTCTGTCACATTTAAGAAGCAATGCAATATTTAAGGTAAACAAGCTAAACTGGATGTGTGTCGACGGTGAGGTTCGGGGGGAAGAAAGGATGGAAGGGGTAATGAAGAACATGCCAGGCTTAAGAATGCATAGGCATAGTTGACAGATTATTGATTCACCATTAAAATGGCATTAATATAAAGTGAATAAAAACATACGATGTAATCAGGATGTGCCTTAAGTTAGTAGCTGTTAAAAAGTCATTGTTATGGTACTTACATCTGCCCAAAACTATAAATAGTGGCAAAATTCATTAAAGAAATGTTAATACAGAGGAACTAAAGCATACACAGTAGAAAGAGAAGGGAACAACGTGCTAGCAAAAATCTGCAAAGACAACTCCGTCAATACACTAAAAATCTTGAATTGTTCACTTTCAGTGGGTGAATTTCATGGTTTATAAATTATATCCCAATAAAGATTTTTTTAAAATCAGCAATGGCATAGGAATAATGACCTGAGTTGTAAAAATCAATCAATATTCAAAGAAAGGGCAGGTAATTTTCCTTGATCCCATGGCAGAAAAACCAGAGGCAAAAACCATTTTTACATTTCTTATAACAAAAATAGACAAATTGCCTATACTAAAAAGAAAAGGGGAAAAGACATTGTCAAAACACTTAAAGAAAGCAATCTACCGACGTCTACATTGAATATTACTTTAATTCCACTGTTTTCTTCTGAAGACTCTGCTCAGTGAGATAATTATGTTTTCACAAACACAGAAATCATACTGGGAACTATTATCGTCTTTAAAAAACTACAAAAGTATGTGTCACAAAGAAAACTATTGTAAGTTCAGAGAAAGTATGGAAGGCTCAATAACTAGAAAAAACAATCAGATAAAGAAAAGAGAAATTCTGGGTCAGTGATCATTTCCTTTTTAAGACAGGGTTCCAAAAAAATGTAGAAAAGATGGACACAAAGCAGGAATACCCAGCTCCTCAAAGGCACACACACACTCATGCTGGGCAATTGTTGGAAAAGACACGGGATGCAAAATTTTTAGTCTCTATTAGAGAAACAAGTTAGCTCATGTGAAAACAGAGTCCTTTTGAAATCACTTTCCGGATTTCACTTTCAGAAAGATAGATGCCAAAAGTGGAAGGCATGTATATGCTCAGAATTTGATCTGCCAGAATAAAAATTGATTATACCTGCCTTTGATATCATTCAGTTCTAGTTACCCAAGAAAAAGTTTCAGCTGATAAAGAAACGAAACAAAACAAAATGAAAACCTGCCCTTTGATTTCCATCTTCAGAGATACCTCGCTCAAACACAGGAACTAAATGTAAATCACTTGGTCTTAAAAGTCAGAACATGTTCAATTCACTGATTCAGCACATGGCTTTTACTTAATTAAAGCTGGTCTGAAACCAGCTTTGTTTCCTTATAGCTACCCAATATAAGAAATAGCCAATGAGCATGTGGACAGAAAGGGCACTGGCCCTGGAGTCAAAAGTTTTAGATCTTAGCTCAACTCTGGGGACTCTCAAATAAACCAATTAAATCTCCTCTGAAATTAAAGAGCTGGCTTTTAATCTTTCCATCTCTACCTTAACATGCCAGGCATGTGGTAGATGTTCAATAAATGCTTCCTGGATTATTACTACTAATAGCTAATAGTTAGCAAACCCTTATTAAGTATGTACATTATATTAATCATCACAATAACCCTATAGTGTAAATTTTCATATTATTTGCATGTCATAACTTCAGAAACTGAGGTTTAGAGGGATTGGTCATGTGCTCACGTGACTCAGCTGGTGGGTGGCAGAAAGATGACCGCAGGGCCCAATTTCTTAATCAATGTGCACTGCCCCCTATCTGAACTTAACTGGACACTGGCCAAAGTAATCATAGTGATCAATGAACAAATGTTGCTCCTCCATTTAATCTCTGTTTTATTGCTCACCTTTCCCCACCATCTGTCTCTCTGGGACTGTCGACAATTAAAACCTAGAGATCCTTGCTACTGAGAGTGTGGTCCATGGACTAGCCTCGTAGGCATCATCCAGGAGCTTGTTGGAAATGCAAAACCTTGGCCACACTCTGGAAACAGAATCTGCATTTTAACAAAACATCCAAGTGAGCCATATGCATATCAGCTTCCGAGACACTGGTTTAGACTAGATCCAAAGTAAAACACTTCCTTCATGATAGGAGGAAAGAATGTCCAAGAAGGAAAATATGACAGAAGCGTTGTGCCCAGAGAGAACAAAACCAGCTGGCTTTGGCTGTATCAGGACCTTCCTTCTCCTGGATAGTGACATATGGATATTTGTAAGTCAGGACCTATGAAGATCCCCAGAGAACTGGTGACAGAAGCAATAACTGAATCTATAGGGAGTGTATCTATCATTCTACTTCTCTCTGAAATTTCCAAACCTGTCTTTAGAAGCATGTATCATGTAGCAAATAAAAATACATTAAGTCTTTGGCAAATACAGAATCACTCATCAGGCAAAGTAGAGCTGCCCTGTGGATTGATAAAACTCAACATGTGTATGATATTACCACCTTCCTTCACAATCCAGCAGTTGCTTCTTGTCAAGGCCACTTTTTCCTTTTAAATATTAACACAATTTTTTTTTTAGCACATATACAACACTAAGGCTAACAAACGAGCTTAAACTGGATTTAAATGAGTTTTTTTCAGTAAGGTTTATGGTTTTCTTTTTAAGCGGTATGCCTTATTCAGGCAGAAGGTCCTGCATTTTTGGCTGAGAGGTGCAGGACAGTAGCTGTCCTCTCACAAGAGAGTTCATTTTGCTCAATAACTCCACCTATAAAAGTCATGCAAATAATGGAATGAAGTTATATTTTGATGATATCCAGATACTGAAGATACTAATTACTGAAGATACTAATTTTTTTCCTTTTCATTCAAGAAAGATAATTTTACACTTATTCTTTGAAAGAGAAATTCTATGGAATTTTCTTCTTCTAATTTAATTCCAGAATACATTCTCTCAACCCTATGCCCTCATACTAGTAACTTGATGGTTAGCGGGTAAGTAGGTAGTAGTAGAAGAACAGAAAGGGAAATTTGGGGAGCAGAAAAGGGAGAAAAAGAAGAAAAGGGAACCTTCTAGTTTCCTAATAGAAAAGCTAGAGAATTCCATTCCTGAAAATTAAAGATATTTTACACGTTTGTGTATGTACGTGGCTTTGTGTTTATACACATACCGTTTTGTTTCATGTAGCATAATCAAATCTATTGCTAATTGTTTAGTTAATATTTACTTATTCAAACATCTTTTTAACATCTTGCCCAATATTCAATTTACATTTTACTTAGCAATTAGCTTGTCTGGCCACTTGCTGTTTTACTTCTTTTCTTAACAAAAACCCAACACTGATGTTCTAACAGAACAGTCTTACTGTCCTTTCGGTTATTGTCATTTCTCTTGCTTCCCCAAGGGCAGAAGCTCTGCTATTTTGCTTGCAAAAGCAAGACTGATATTTCATTGTTGCTACAAAAGGGTCAAGATAGAGTTATCGAACCCTAATAACTCCACCTATAATAGTCATGCAAATAATGAAAGGAGGTTTTAGTAGAAGCCAAGAAGTATATTTGACTTTTTTATTTATTCCCGTTTTAAAAATAAATTACATTTATTTTTTAAAATTACATTTTTACAGATCTACACTTCCTAGAACTAAGAGAATGACACAGTATACAGGTAGAAATTCTTTCTTTTATTGAGTTTTATCCTTTTTGTGATTTAAAATCTAGCAGGTGGTTTCTTTTCCTTAATGCCTTCAATTACACATTCTTCACACTTTCTGCTATCACTTTCCCTGCCTTCATCTAGTGATAACTAGAATAATTAGAATGGATTTCTTGCTAATCAATCATCTAGGTATTATCTTCTAGAAAGTTTGCAAGACATCCCTCCTTCAACCACCGTGGTTCTATAAAAAGAATTGCTTTTAATTCTCAACACTCTTATTCTGTTACTGTCATGAGACATCCTCTAGTTTCAGAGAATTTCTATAAACTGCCTAAAATAACCTAGGATTTTACAATGATGGAAAAGGAAGAAAGTGAGCATGCTCAAAGTCAGAGGATGAGAGGGAAGCACAGCAAAGTCTGGGGCAGTGCAATCCAAGGTGTCTGGCTCAAGGCGGAGTCCAGAGGCCACTGCAACCTGGAGACACATGTTAATTACCAAGGGAGCACCTGGCAGGGTAACTCACCAGCCTGAGTCAGCCTAGGATGGGAGCTTAAGGGGGACCTGAGGAACTCCAAGAGAGAATCACATGCATGAGTTTTCCACAAGGGACCCAAGTTCCCAGCCCAAATGAGACAAGCAATGGATCGTATTAAAAGCTAGTAACAATTGTGCTGAAGCAACCTCTTGCTGGTGGCATTGTTAATGGAGACACCATTCTCAGGCAAACTTTAGTAGGATATTTGAAGAGCAACAAAAGCATTTATACTTTTTGATCGGGTAATCACACTGTAAAAATATGGGGAAAGGGACATACACAGAGTTGTTCCTTGCTAAATAAAAGAGACAAAATTTAATAAGATAAATGTATACATCTTCATTTAAGTTTAAACACACGTATACATGTATAGGCTGGCAGTTGCCTGGACTAGCAGCTATTCTTGTGAGAAAGCCCTGGGAATTTTGGATCAGCCAACATCACAGCAGGGCTACTTGGGAGGGAGCAGAGCAAGTGGTAGGAACACACTTTATAGTCAGGCAAAGAAGGGTCTGGATATCCCCTTCTACAGACCATGGCAAGTCACTCACTTTCTAATACATCCAGCCATCCAACAGTTAAAAGGCCTTTGAAAATGCAGAGCTTCCTAAAAAAGGAGATGCTTCATCAGCCCCTGAGTTTCCTAGAGCCAGCACTCTCCAGGAGAGCCTCCTTGGTCTCAGAAAACACACGCTGGCATCTACCTCAACTTCAGAATTGCACACCTGACTCTTCCTCCTCCAGACCTAGGCAAGACCTCCACCAGAGCAAAACCAGCAAAAAGCAAGGAGAAGAAGGTGGTTTTACCGGGGTGTCTGGTGCTGTAACTATGCACAAGGGAGGCAGACTCAACTTGGATGGAGAAGCCTGGAAAATTCAAACTCAGGTGTCAAGAAGCAGTGTTTCCTAGGATTTACAGAGTGGGAAAGTATTAAGTCTAGTGCTCAGAGTAGGCACGTGGTAAGTCCTGAGACTCCCAGATAAAATGACCAGCACCTGGGCTCATTCTGTGAAGAATGTTCCAGTTGGGCCTATAATTAATCCATTTAAGATGTGGACCAGTTTTTATGAATCACAACAAACCCTTGGTAAGATCCACTTTCTTTCCTTTAGATGCAGGCCAGCCTCTTTGTTTCCCCCGTTAACACACATTTTCTTAAATTAACCCTCTATCCACACATTAAGAAAAAATATCTATACATACTCCATGAAAACTGCAAAGGTCTCAGATTAATACAGAAACGTAACTTTGGACTCTATCTTCTTATCAGCATTCATTTGAACACTGGTATTAAGTTTACTGTGAACTTTATCATTCAACCATATGTAAAATGTTACAATCATTTTATTTACATTTCTCTGAGCAAAGGTGGTGGGTATCAACCTTGTCCAACAGACGAGCACCTTACTTACATCAGGATATTAGCAGACACCAAGTGAAAATGAATGATGCAGTAACCAAGTGCAAGGGCTTCACAGTCTTATTCCCCAGATGATGCTACTTTTGGTCTAGGAGAAGCCATAGGCTTTTTGGTCATCTTCTTCAGCCCTCAGTTAATCAAGGTTTGTCTACACATTTTATATCCAAAAACATCTCTTATAGTTGCAAACTCTCTAAAATCAGATATAGTTAAATATCCACATGAAGTAAGATCAAGTTCCCTCTTCCACTGTATTGAGAAGCTACTAAGTGTCAGGGGCTGGGATGGGGTTTAGGAACACAAGCTAAACAGAGCTCTCTCTCAGGGGCTCACAAGCCAGGGGAGGACACAGTGAATTCTCAAGAGTGTGAACAGAAGTGTAGCGGGGACCCAGAGGAGGAGCTGCTCAACATCTGGGCATTGGGGAAGGTTGCCGCTGATAAAGCACCTTGGACAGGAATCTTGAAGACCAATTAGGAGCTCACGTGAGTGGAAAGCCCGTTCCAGGAGAGAGGAAGGGGTATGGTGGGTCGGACTGTGCAATCTAAGGAACAATATATGCATCTCTGGATGTCTGAGCAAGAAAGTGAGTTAGGTGAGGATAATGATAATTGTTTTCAGATATCTGAAGGACTAGCAGATTAGGCATTTGGTTCTCCATGTAGAAGATATTACTAGACTTGGGAGGGTAAGGGGGCAGCTATAAGAGTGTAAATTTCAGTTTAACATGTGTGAGAACATTCTATAAAACAGAACTATTAACAAGAAAACTAGTTGCCTTAAGTAAGCAATTTTACTTCCTGATTACATAGTTTTGGAGTCATTTTGGATTCTAATTCTAACTTAGCTCATAGTAAGTGCTTATGATACATATAAATAGTAGCTATTCATATTGTGAGATGGTGAACTCACTCTCACACTCTGAGTTCCAGCACCATACCACAGCAAATTGTCTTCTATGGCAAAGTCTCATGCCCCAGTGTGAGTGTGGACCAGAAACCATCGAAGGTCCTTCCCAGCCTGGGACTCTCATTTGGTTGTCTCTGCTCATTTATGATTTGGCATTATTCCCTCAACTCACATGGAAAGACACTGAAAGAAAGGTTTATTAAAAACATGCTATAGACCAGGCATGGTGGCTCACACTTGTAGTCCTAGCTACTCGAGAGGCTGAGGTAGGAGGATTAGCTTGAGCCCAGGAGGTCAAGGCTGCGGTGAAGTTTGATGACACCACTGCACTCCAGCCTGGGCAAAAGAGCAAGACTCTGGCTCTAAAACAGAGAAGAAAAGAAGAGAAAGAGGAGGGGAGGGGAGGGGAGGGGAGGGGAGGGGAGGAGGGGAGGGGAGGGGGGAGGGGAGGAGGGGAAGGGAGCGGAGGGGAGGAGAGGGGAGGGGAGGGGAGGGGAGAGACAAGACGAGGAGAAAAAAGGAGAAAAGAAAAGAGAACCTGCTGTATACATGTTGGCTATCATTACTACTGTTATTATTTCCTCTGATATTATCTTTCTATTAACACAATTATTCCTGATCCCTGATTTTAATGTTTTATTCTTGGGTGTATGTATGTGTATATGTTTAATGTTATGCAAATATTCTTGTAAGCCAATTCAAATCCTTGGTATAGCATAAAGTCATAAAAATAGAATAAAATAACATTATACAGCTTATTTTCTTTCTTTCTTTTTTTTTTTTTTTTTTTTTTGAGATAGAGTCTTGCTCTGTCTCCATGCCGATGAAGTTGATAGGTCTTCCTAGGAAGCAGTAATCAGCCTACCACCTCTTTCTCAGACATCATTAGGTAAATGCTGAATGGCATTAGCGTTTAGTTTTTACCAACCTAGGAGAAATGGAAATATAATTTCAT
Source organism: Homo sapiens (assembly GCF_000001405.40). Lineage (NCBI taxonomy): Eukaryota > Metazoa > Chordata > Mammalia > Primates > Hominidae > Homo > Homo sapiens. The sequence goes on from NC_000003.12 coordinate 171,764,015, forward strand.
ACATCATTACTAAAATGGGTGATCAAAGCTCACTGTAGCGTTGAACTCCTGGCCTCAAGCAATCCTCCCACCTCAGCCTCCCAAATACCTGGGACCATAGTCACATGCCACCACGTCCAGCTAATTTTATTTATGTTTTTAGTAGAGATGGAGTTTCTCTATGTTGCCCAGAGTGATCTGAAACTCCTGGGCTCAAGTGATCCTCTTGCCTAGACTCCCAAAGGGCTGAGGTTACAGGCATGAGCCACTGCGCCTGGTCTACAGTTTATTTTTGATGACACATAAGAATCACTAATATTCATTTAACACTTATAATGTATGGGGCATTATGATAAGCTTTTTATATACATTATTTCATTTAATTCTTACAAGAACCCTCTAAGGTAAGTACAATTATTATCCCCATTTTATAAGGCAACGAAGTTGAGTCTTAGAGAAGTCATGTAATTTGCTCAAGGTCACAACTAATAAGCAATGATCTAACCCAGTAATTTTGCAACATGGCCTACAACACACTCACATTAATGAGTATGTACTTTTCTTTAACTTTGAAAAGTTAAAGAGTTAGACACTCCAGAGGCCAAAAACAAGTCATTTAATCCAATAAAACAGTTGGCAGCACTGACAGAGTTCATTTGGTCTTAATCTCACACTCAGGACACTGTTGGGAAGATGGGGCCTGCAGAGTAACCAGGTCATGTTTGTCTACACGGTCTTTGAAAATCAAATCAAAATTTTCAGGATTCTCACATATTGCATGATTCCATTCATATGAGATGTTCAAAATGGGCAAATCAAGAAAGAAAGAAAGAGAAAGAAAGAAAGAAAGAAAGAAAGAAAGAAAGAAAGAAAGAAAGAAAGAAAGAAAGAAAGAAAGAAAGGAAGGAAGGAAGGAAGGAAAGAAAGAAAGGAAAGAAAGGAAAGAAAGAAAGAAAGAAAGAAAGAAAGAAAGAAAGAAAGAAAGAAAGAAAGAAAGAAAGAAAGAAAGAAAGAGAAAAAGAAAAAGAAAAAGAAAGAAAGCTGCCTAGAGCTAGGGGAGGAAAAGAGAGAGGTAGGGAGGATGGGTACAAAGTCTCCTTTTGGAGTGATGAAAATGTTTAAAAAATGGACTATAGTTATGGTCACACAACTCTGTAGATATTCAAAAAACCAATGAATTGTATACTTTAAAGGGCTTAACTTGATGATCTGTAAATTATACAATATCAATAAAGCTGTTAAAAAACGATTTCCAGAGCTCAGTATCAAGTGTTCTCTAGTCACTCCATGAGGCTGCCGTCTTCCAGAACAAACATAGTAACCAGATGTGTGTAAAGTAAGCTTGTACCCAAGAACAAAATGTTCCAACAACAATGATGAGAGTAATGAGCATGCTGGTGAAGTTGGTAGGTCTTCCTAGGAAGCAGTTATCAGCCTACCGCCTCTTTTTCAAACATCATTAGGTAAGTTCTGAATGGTGTTAGCTTTGAGTTTTTACCAACCTAGGAGAAATGGAAATAAAATTTCATTCATCATTACTAAAGTGTGTGAAAACGAGCAGAATATTATAAAGAGCAGCAGAGGGGGAATCAAAGGACCCCAAAAGCTTCCATTCGAATCTACTACGACCTTGTAGACTTGAGGACTCAATCATTTTGGGCTTCAGTGACTTGATCTGTAAAATGAGGAAGGGGAAGTATGAAGTCAGCTACTCTAAGGTTTTCTTCTGTCTTCAGCATTCCAGTCAAATCGTCCCTTCTAAGGATTGTCTTGGTATGCTGACTTGTCCCTTTCATCACATCATCAACTGCGTTTAGACCAAAGAATTGTTATCCAGACATCTGGACATATTGAAAATCTCTCAAAGAATCTTTCCTGGACTGATGTTTCAGGTATTTACATGAACTTCCTCCGTATCCTTTATTAAATACACTATCTACCTTATAGTTTAATTAGCTATAAAAACCTAACTGAAATTTTAAGCTTGACACAGAAAAGTCAAAAAGGTGTTTCCTAACATGATGTATAAGGGCAGCAATATAATTGTTCTCCAAAGTAAAATGATTCTGTCCTTTATAAAAATTCATTTTACCTCAACTCTAACCTGTCACTTCTAATCAATTTTAATTTTTATTATAAAAATGATAAATTCTCATCTAAGAAAACCTTAAATATATACAAATTTGAGGAAATTAAAATCAGTTTTAGAGCCAATACCTTAAATAGATTAAGAGTAATGTTAGTCTACTATTTCTACTATTATATGTTGGTATAGTCTCACTTTTTTCTCCATGAATAGTTTTTCCCTTTTTTAAAATGAATATAAAGTAATCATGTTTAAAATACCAATATGTAGAAAAGTATAAGAAGAAAATATAAATCATCAGAAATCCCACCTTCAAAATAACCCCTAAATCCCTATTAACTTAAGGTGATCATCCGTTCTATTGTCTCTGTAAGCATAACACACACATAGAGAGGTATATTTTAAACACATTCAGATGTGTGATGGAGAGATAGTTTAATATCCATTATTTTTACTTAAATATCTATCATCACCATTTCCTCCTATTACAATTTTCCATAAATAAAATTGTGATGGTCCGTCATGCAATTTTCTTCTGCTACTTTATGTTTTTATTATTTGCAACTTTTCATGGTAATAAATAATGCTTCAATTAACATTTTTATACTTAAAGCGTCTACACTCCTACCTAGAAAATTTAAATCTATTGACTTTTTCCTTTTGTGATTTCCTCTATTGATTTTGGGAAGAGAAAGTGCTTACCCATTCAAAGATCAGAATTTTTATTTTTTCGTTTCTTTTCTTTCTTTTAAGTTAGCTCCTTAATCTGTCTGGGTTATCTTGTTCTATATTGTTAAAGGTTCTAAACTTATTTGTAACACGTTTAAATTTTAGCCAAATTGGGTAGAAGTTATTTGCCCAATATTTTTCAAATGCACATTTATGTCTTTTAAAAAAATATATGTCTCATAATCTTGGTTATCCACTAAACTTAAGGAAACCTTCAAGACTGCCAAATAACCAGAGCTTTGATTACTAGCAGGAAGTCATACTGGGCAGAAATAAAGAGGACACTCCTACTGGCCAAATTAAAACTAAACAATCAGAAAAGTCCAAGTTCCTAGCTTTAGTGGCTTTATTATTTTAGCCTTAAAAAGTCTCTAAAATCCCAAAAGTAGCTTAAGTGTTTAAAAGACAGTATTCAATGCAGTGGGCTATTCTCCATACGGCCTGGCCACTACTGGTCTCATTTACGGGCCATGGGCAACCTCTATATCCTGCCATTGGTCACCAGGTTCTTGCCACTGGTCACGAGCAGAGTAGGTGAGAAAGTGGAGCACAAGCTTACCAACCCAAGTAGAGAAAGGACACCAATGGCTTGCCTTGCTGGTTGACAGTAAGTCAACAGAGCATCTTCTAAATGAAGAGCAGCACAGATGTCAGTATCTACATGGTTGTTTCTCAATAATAAGTACTGGGTTATATTGGACATAATACAATCCAAAATGTATTAGGTTGTATTTTTTTCTTATATTTTTCTAATATTGGATTCTATTTTCAGTTCTTCCCCCTCCACAGCACCTTCTGATGCACAACACTGTCATAGCTGCCTACTAGTTGCTCTGACTTAGGTCAATCTAACTTTCTTGAATAGTTTCCTCAACTGTAAAATGGAGATAATAAAGAAAATCAACAACTTAAGGTTGTTGTGAGGATTAAGGAAAAGGCTTAGAACAGGCCGGGCATGTTTACAAGGCTCATGCCTATAATCCCAGCATTTTGTTTACATGGCTCATGCCTGTAATCCCAGCATTTTGGGAAGCCAAGGTGGGAGGCTGACTTAAGACCAAGAGTTTGAGGTTGCAGTGAGCAGTGATCGTGCCACTGCACTCCAGCCTGGGCAACAGAGTGAGACTCTGCCTCAAAAAAAAAGAGAGGGGGGCTGGGGCTTAGAACAGTGACTGCACTTAGGAAATGACTTTTATGTGTTCATTATTATTATTATTATTATTATTATTACCACTATTCTACCACTTCTGCTATGACTATTACTACTAACTGGGGTAGTACTACTACCCCAGAAATGCTGGGTCAAACTTAAATTGGGTTCTTCAGAATGAAACAGGCAACTGGGGAGCTCTGTGGTCAGATCAGCTCCAGGAGTATACTCTATCCTCAACTTTTGCAATCCCTCTGGGAAGTTAAGTATTTACTGACATTACTAAAATAGTGAATTTCCAGGGTGGATGGCATCACAATCTCCCACATTTTCTGGTACGTAACCATAAGACCTATGTGCACACAAGCACCTGGTTCTTGAGGGGGGCAAGAACCAGGAGGTTAGGCATGGAAAAGGCAGATGTGGCACAGTTCATTTTAGTCAATACATGAAGCTGACAAGGCTATAAACTGCAGATGAAAAGCCTGCACCTCCCAAACCGTACGCTGCAAAGATCAAGACTATGTGTGATCACACAGGAACAAGGAGTGATCTGGGCTGTGAAGAACGGAACTGGTCCATCAGGTGAAAATCTACCAAGGTTCGACGGTCAGAAAATTCATCTCTAATACCACTACTACTCCTAGTTCTTCAATTCTTTCCTCAGAGTCCTGATCTTCTACTGCCATGCAACTTCCTCAACGTTTGGGGCGTAGCCAATTCAAGTTAAAAAAGTTTGCCTAAGAATTTCTCTCCAGCTTTGAAACTCAGATTCATTTTATAAGAAAATTGGCATCACGCCCTTCTGGGTCACAGCGAGGTCCATAAACCATCTGAGATGTGTGAGACATCTAAGTCACTTTGACTATCAACAAGAAAGCATGTTGGATAAAAATTAATTAGCACAAAACTCAACTTAAAATTAGATGGTATGTTATGAGACAAATGCTCATCTCTTATTAGCCAAAAGACCCAGATATAACAAAATTAAGCCAGTCCAGCAGAATGAGAGCAAGAATGCAATGTGTGTTCCAAACCTAGAATCAGGAATAATCTAAGGTTTGCTTAGACACTTTACCCCAAATTTACAGATTTTGAACTCTCTACTGTACAGTCCTTTTTTTTCTCCCACGTTTGGAGGAAACATTTTAACGTGTATATTCTCTGGGAAAACCCTAAAATCTGGTTTTTAGGGAGTTTCCCTCTTATCTAATCCTTTGCCACATTATTTTTGTTTCGAATCTGTGGTCTTTGCTTTGTTACCATCTCTAGATGAAAAGCTATGAAGCACTTGGGAACACAGAAACTGAGATCCACAAGATACAAATGAGTTTCATGTAAGCTTTTAAAGACCTTTATCTGTACCCATCAAGCACAAACAAGTAATCAACGACTAAAATGTCTTAATATTTCTCTCTAAAATCATCAGGCAGCTACAATCAGGTGGACAAGTCGTTCCTTAAAATTTAATATCATTTAATAATTAATAATTGCACAATAGCATATATGCGTAGTAATAGCATATATATGGCATGTATATAAAACATAGCAAAGTCATAGCAATCTTTGCACTTTTGGGAAAGCTAAAATGATGTAATAAACTTACTGTTAAAGAAAATATCTACAGAGGCAGGGGCAATAACACAGCTGTACAATTGTGCCTTAGGGGGTATAAAATACAGTCCACTTTGTAATCCCGAAATGGCATGCAGCCATAACATTGTAACTTCAACTTAGCACTGATGGGGAAAGGGATCCTTAAAGTTTAGCATATCACCTCAGAGATCTTTTTTAAGTACCTATTTCTGTCTCCCTTCCCCCTCAATTTTTTTTAAGCAGAGAAGAACATGAAAGAACAGACCCTTTCTAATACACTGTATTTCGCAGTGGGGAAAAAAGGAGAATAAAATGGCAATAACAGAAGCATATTAGCATATTTAAAACACTAGTACATTACCCTGAACTAAAGCATCCTTAAAGTAACATGAAAGCAAGAGAAACTATATTTCATAAAGTGTTGCAAACTTTAAAACACCAAATTGAACTACTCCTATAGAACAATTTCATGCCAGATTGCTTTGGTGGCAAATTAATAAAGGCAGAATTGCTCTTTAGATCTTTAAATTAACGAGATTAAGGAAGACAATGTCTTTCTCTGTGCTTAATTATATTGACTTAATTTCTTAATTACTATTAACTATACTTTTATGTTTTACAAGTCACACTCCATTTTTACAGCTGTTCTTTAATCCTCGGGTAATCTCGTATTCTGAAGAATCACTTGAGAATAAAAACAGCAAAACTGAAGACAAAATTCAATTGGGCTTAATCCACCTGTACATTCTGCCTGAATCAATTCTTATGCCAGTATTTTGAGGCATTCCAGAAAAGTGCCAGACTTTTCAAAGAGAAAAATTAAAATGATATTCTGGTTCACTGAAACTCCAAGGAGTAGGCCTGAAGAAAAACCGTGCATCAGACAAGCACGCACCAGTGGGGTGAGGGAGGACAACCCCAACTGGGGCCCAACACTCCACTACTTAACGTTTCAAAAAATAAAATCAACTGTGTATAAAATCATATTTATACCTAGAAGGTCTAGTGCGACGACACAAAGAAAGCAATTATAAGAAAGGAACTAGGCTAGGCAAGGTGGCTCACGCCTGTAATCCCAGCACTTTGGGAGGACAAGGCAGGCAAATCGCTTGAGCCCTGGGGTTGGAGACCAGCCTGGGCAACATGGCAAAACCTGGTCTCTATAAAAAAGTATAAAAAAAAAAATTAGCTGGGTGCGGTGGCATGCACCTGTAATCCCAGCTATTCAGGAGGTTGAGGTGGGAGGATCGCTTGAGCCCAAGAGGTTGAGACTACAGTGAGCCATGATCATTCAACTGCACTCCAGCCTTGGTGACAGAGCAAAACCCTATCTCAAAAAAAAAAAAAAAAAAAAAAAGGGGGCGGGGGCAGGGCTGATATTTACTAACAAGACCTCTGGACTGCAAATCCAACACAGATACTAATATGTCATTTCCACTTGGCTTCCAGTTGTATTTAATATGGTCAAAAAATGCATATATTATAAGGAGAAACATAACCCCCTAAACCTCTGCAGGATAAACGAACTCACATTATTTTCTAAAAGAACGCAGCAACCCAGTCTGTCCTATCATCACACCGTGAGCTCAGAAAGAAAATCTGACACACGCAGCAGAAAGTGCAAAATGTTATTTACTAACCTGGTGCCCCTGTGAAAGCAGTTGCTCCATATCACCTTAAAGAAAGAATCCTTACTATGAAACCAATCTCCAAGGCAGCTGATAGCCAAGAGGTGGCAAAATCGACTACCCTGAGAATCCAAATAAACGGGCAAAGCCTTCCTGTTCCCAAGCCCAGTTTTGGCTGACTCCCTCAAGGCAACTTAAGTCATAGCCAAGCCCACAAAGCACTTTAGCCTATAAGCTTTAGTAATGAACTTGAAACCACTCCCCATATGTTAAAGAGACACCGGACTGCTGTGAGAAATAAAACCCACATACAGAATGAGCTACAGCTTCAGGCTGCACTTTTGTACTTGCTGCCCAAGAAAACCATAACACAAACTTAAACAAAGAGAACTCTCACTCCCTTCTCTCCCCTCAGACACTGCAATAAAGTGAATGATTAATTTTAAGCAAGGGGATACAGTCTGCCCTCCATTAGGGCCATGAAATGACTTTTATATTGTTCAAGTTGTGTGGCAGTTATGGAACAGATAGCACTGTAATTTCACATTGCATAAGAGGGACATATGAAGTTATCATTTCTGAGAATCAAATGTAGATAGTATTACTATTTTCAGATAACATTGAATAAGCTTAAAAACCTCATCAAATCCAACGATTAACATAAGTTCAATAGGAAATTTTGTCAAAGAACCTTCTAACTTCTGATTCTGACTTAGTGTCTATAAATCTTAAAAACATTCTTATAATTCAGTTTCACCACCTACATTTAGAATGGATGTATAAGCTAAGACACGTCTTTTAACATGGATCTTTAAGCTGCCTTTTAAAATGGAACTTAATACCACTCACTAAGATTTCAAAATAAGAAATTTATGTTTCATTCTAGAAAAATGTAGTCAATCAATTCCTTAAAGCAGTTAGATCTTAAAACAGAGTCAGTAATGTTCTAGCATATTGTTAGAACATCAGCTTTTTAACACAATGTGTTCACAGTATACTTATTTTCCCCTAGTTTTCAACTCCAAGAACAGTTTTAATTCTAATGGCTTGTTGCCATGATTTGTATTTTGTTTAAATGAGACTTATTTCAACACAATAACCAAGGTTTTTGAACTTTAATTATTGTTTCTCCTAAACCATAAGATTGGACCAAATATGCAGGCAAAGCTTGATTCACCTGTTGCCAAACTGATTTACATGAATTACTGGTAAAATTCAAGTTACTCAAAACCTGTGAAATATAAGCCATTAGCTCAACAAATTCACCCATGAAAATCCTGGAGACTATTTTAGATCTAATACACACCTTGCCCACCCCTCTACCCACTCCCAGGTCAGGGCTCAAGAGGATCTCATGGGGTCACCATAGAATGAGGGGGCAAGATAATTTCTTTTCTCAGGGAAAAAAGAAAACGAGCCTCAAGACCTGTGGCTGATGACTTTAAAAGGAGCTAGTACCCCACCTGCTGGCAAAACCAAGCGAAAGCTGGATGAGCTGAACAAACCTCAGGGGAAATGTTATTACTTTGATGTTGGAAGAAAAACAGAGAAGGAGCAGCTATGCGAGCACATTAATGTCACATTCAGTATGTCGTTAAATATTATTAAATTTTTCCCCACAATAGTGATATATTTCTAGAGGATATAAAAATGCTCATGCAAAAAAAGTAGATTCAAAACCATCTATTTTACATGGATCTGGTTTGCAAACATATATGATGATTTGCATGCCCAAGGAAATCCTCTGATAAATAATATTGATCTCTCCTCTGCAGAAAGAGCTTCAAAAAATACTCCTGGGAGACCAACACAATCTTTGAAATGGAAGAAATATGAATAAATCCCCAACTCAGCTAGATAAACTACTGGTGGGGCTGTGTCTCCATCAGTCTGTATGTCTGTATTCCCAGAATTTCTCTTATCTTTCAGCAAAAATTTATTTCCTTTTGCCACATATAAATTAATTCTTCTAAAATGAATATCTGATATTAACCTTAATGAAGATGAAGAAAAGTTAAGTGGTGGGCACCAAATTACACTACATTCTTTAATAAAACCCCGCAATAATAAGAGTATAGCAGGATATGACTTTTAAATGAGCCCAAGCTGTACTACTAAAACTAAAATGAGGCCAGGTGCAGTGGCTCATGCCTGTAAGCCCAGCACGTTGGGAGGCCGAGGCGGGTGGATCACGAGTCAGGAGCTCCAGATCAGCCTGACCAACATGGTGAAACCCCATCTAAACCCCGTCTCTACTAAAAATACAAAAATTAGCCGGGCGTGGAGTAGTGCACCTATAATCCCAGCTACTCAGGAGGCTGAGGCAGGAGAATCGCTTGAACCCGGGAGGCGGAGGTTGCAGTGAGCCGACTTCGTGCCATTGCACTCCAGCCTGGGCAACAGAGCGAGACTCCGTCTCAAAAAACAAAACAAAACAAACAAACTAACTAAAATGAATAAGGATAGCTATTATATAAGCTCTTCCGATGAGCCAAGCTTGGTTCTAAAGTGCTTTATAAGTACCAACTCATTTAAACATTACCACTCTATTATTATACCAGTTTGTTTGTTTGTTTGTTTGTTTGAGACGGAGTCTCGCTCTGTCACCCAGGCGGGACTGCAGTGGCGCTGTCTCGGCTCACTGCAACCTCCGCCTCCTGGGTTCACGCCATTCTTCTGCCTCAGCCTCCCGAGTAGCTGGGACTACAGGCGCCCGCCACCGCACCCAGCTAATTTTTTGTACTTTTAGTAGAGACGGGGTTTCACCGTGTTAGCCAGGATGGTCTCGATCTCCTGACCTCATGATCCGCCCGCCTCGGCCTCCCAAAGTGCTGGGATTACAGGCGTGAGCCACCGCGCCCGGCTATTATACCAGTTTTACAGATGATAAAACTGAGGCGTCCAAAGGCTAGTAAGTACACTGCCAAGATCACACAGTTAGAGACAGAGCTGGGATTAGAACCCAGGTCGGTGCTCCTAGCCATGTACTTTAAAAACTCTTTCTTCCTGAGTGCGTACCACTTAAACCCTGCCAGGCCCTGGTCAAATGCAAGGGCGGGGGAGACAGTGGATAAGGCCTGCACTGTGAACAGTCCTCATAAAGGCTTTCCAGAGAAGTGGCCACAGAACTGAGACCTGGAGGTGACATGGAAGGGAAAGGGTCCCCAGGGAGAGGGCACTCACTCAGTCTGCCAAGGCAAAGGGTAAACGGGGTGGGGGACATTGGAGGGACTGCCTGCAGGGACCTTAGTAAGGCTGAGGGACCAGCAGAAGAAAATGCTGTGAGGAAGGCAGAGTCCTCTTATGTCACATCATGGAGCAAAGAGGCATCACCAACGGATGCTAAACCGGAAAGTGTCCAGATATGCATGTTGAAAAGGTAAGTAGGAGGAATGAGGCCTTTTTGGGTGAGTAGGAATTTAGACATTCCAGGTAAAGGCAAGCACAGGCCAGTGCTGTAAGACATACAAGTTTATACTTTCATAAACTGTATCAAGGAGGCTTGTGCCGTAAACCCCGCAGCAGCATGCGCACTGGCTCCCTTGTCAAGCCAGCTCGGGGCTGGAGCCACGTGGTGGTTACTAATGCCATTCACAGAGTTAGGGACAAGGAGGAAGGGCAGGGTGGTGGGAGGAGGGTGGGGAGATGCTCAAGCCAAGGAGTTCACTGAGGGAGGCTGGGTTTGAGGTCCTCTGAGCTGTTCAGGGAGGATATCCAGCAGGCCCCAGGAGATGCAGGCCAGGTGCTACAGTCCTTTGCCTAGACAGCAGAGGTGCACATTTAGGAGTCACTGACACTGAAGGAGCAGCTGCAGCTGGGGGACAGTGGGACACAGAGTTTGTCCCTGGAAAATGTACAGCATGAGAAGAAAGAGTGAAATTTAAGGCAAGGCTAAGGGTGTCAGACAGAATTCAGGCTGTTGATAAAAAATTTTATTTTTATTTTTACTAACTTCTAACTAAAATTATCATTTCCTTCTGTAACTTGTCATCAAAGATATTTTCTTTGACGTCAAAGATATTTTCTTAGACATCAAGGATTTTTCATATCACATTAGTTATTGCAATATCTCAAAGTATCATTTCCACTCATCACTATTTCAAAATTACAGTAGTTATTAGACCTGCCACTAGATACTGGTAAGTAATGCATTTTAATAAAGGACATGTATTACAATATGACATATTTACTTCTTTGCATATTGATAACTTTATGTCAGTATAATTGGTTTCCTTTGTAATCCTATGCATTTTAATTTTATGTGTTTAATTTTACAGAATAAATATTCTGTAGAGTGGTTCATTAGCTTAATTAGAATGTCAAAGAGGTCCCCATGGCACAAGTAAAAGTAAAGAACATCTGATTTAAAGAGGGAAAGAGCCCAGCGCAGTGGCTCACGTCTGTGATCCCAGCACTTTGGGAGGCTGAGAGGGGCGGATCACCTGAGGTCAGGGGTTCAAGACCAGCCTGGCCGACATGGTGAAACCCCGTCTCTACTAAAAATACAAAAATTAGCCGGGCGTGGTGGCACACATCTGTAATCCCAGCTATTCAGGAGGCTGAGGCAGGACAATTGCTTGAACCCAGGAGGCAGAGGTTGCAGTGAGCAGAGACTATGCCACTGCACTCCAGCCTGGATGACAGAGGGACACTCTGTCTCAAAATAAGTAAACAAAAAAAATTAATTAATTAATTAAAATAAAAGGGGAAAGAAAAAGCCACAGGAAAACACTTAAAAATAGCTCTGCGAAAAGGGGGACCCTAGTATGAGATGGAGACAGCTTTCAAAGCTAGGATGCAAACGCAGGACTTCTGACTTTGTGTTCTTTCTACCACGTGACTCCACACCCTAAAATAATAAAAACAGTAACCCCTTCATTTGCGTAAACAAAGGGCTTTCACATGTATTAGCCTGTTAGTTCATCACATCTATTCAGAGTAGGAAAAGGCAGGAACCCAAACGTGCCTTGAAGCTGCCATCTAAGAAGACACTCCTTCCTGGGCCTCAGCACTGCGCCAGTGCTGCAGCGGACGGTGGTACCTGTCACCCCACTCTATGGAGCTGTAGTCATGGGCACAGAAGAGTAAGATGAAGAGCCCCTCCCTCATACCACACTAGCTAGAACCTGATCGCAAGAGGTGGGCACAGTGGGTGCCCACCCAAATGATGAGTTGCACTTCTCTCCAGGCTTCTATTTACAGGTAAGGCTAAGAATTTGTTTCCTTGCTCAAAGCTCTTTTATTTAGTTCTGATTGGTGATCCAGAGTGAATTACAAGATTTGCAATATTTCAGCTCTTTAATTTGCCATTGGCTCTAACCAAGACAGAAGACTTTACTTAAGCAATTGGTTTGAAATTAGATGGACAAGCTGAAACAATGGGCTCTCTGTTCTTTCCTCTCTGTGCCCACCAACTGGCATTCATTATTTAATCTGTGACGTGTGTTGCCAGGGCTGCGGTAATGACAACGGCACCTATTGTCTTCACATCCCTTCCCTATTCTGTAACATCTGTCATGGCTCCTGTCTATATTTCATTTTATTTTGTTTTATTTTGCTTCTTTTACTTTTACAAGGTTATTCTTAATTACTACAAATTGCTCTGAAATCTATTCTAACCCTGCAAAGTGTAGCATCATTTTGTAACTTGGCAATAACAATAAACTGAAGGCGCGTGTGATAGCACCCTTTTAAATTACTGTAATTTTACATAAAACTGTATAATTTCAAACAAATTTTATCTCAAGGTTAACTAGATAACCTCTCTTTTTAAATACCTGATCAGTTCACAGACGACTTTGGCCCCTTCTCATATAATACATGACTTCCTTTTACACAATAATGAGAATGTGGGTTTATATGACTAATCTGACACAATACAGTAACTTCTGCTTAAAAAAAAAAGCTGAACATTTCTTAATATGCAGTTACAATGTAAATTACTATGTTCATGGATGGATCTTTAATTTCCAAGTTTCTCTATTATTTTCTTTCTTTTTTAAATAAGGAGCCAGAGTGAAAATTGTCACTTGCCTTGTAATCAGTCACCTAAAAACTAGAGTGAAAATTGTTGTGTGTGAAAAGAGTTCAAAATTGGTTTCTATGTCCCAGGAACCGGAGAGCTGGTCTTCCTACTGCTGTCTGTCTCAGGACACAGCACACCCATCCGCTGTAGGAAAGGCAGAGGTTTCGCTTAGAGCTGCTTGCGTGTAAGGGAAGAGGGAACTCAACCTGGCAGGAACAAGCCCTTGATGATTTACCTTCTTTCCTAATTGCCCAGAGGCATTTCCTTCCTTGCTTACCCAATCTAAGGAAGGGTTTCCTACTGCCCTAGCAGTTCCTTTAACCTGAAGCCATTTTCTCTAGTTCCTACCCTGTTTTTTGTGTTGCTCTCAATCTGCTTTCTCACAAGACCTCACTTTCCAGCCAAATTGGTTTATTCTGTTTTTCAAATTACCTAGTTCTTCCTTCCTTTTGAGTTTGTGCCACTGTCCCAACTGTGGCAATGCCCTTCCCCCTCCTCGACAGTAAAGGAGTCAAATCCTCCCCAGCATTTCAAGGGGCGGCCCAAACCCATGTCCTCTACAAAGCATTTTCAGGTCACCCTGCTTTAAAAAAAAACAAAATTGCTCAACAACTACAGCAATCATCATCAGCAGCCGCAAATCCATTAGGCAACAAATTATGCCTTGCGACTTTCTATTTTATCTGGATGGGTTATTTAAATAGTGATGGCATTTAACTTTTCATGCATTTATAACTACTTCCTCCAACTTAGTAATCAGTAACTACATATTACAAGTTATACCTCTGAAATCAACCATTGTAAAAAGCATATAGCAAAAATTCTACCTTACATTGCATTCATATATGTATTTGTTGCTTACAAGATATTTAAATTATTTATGTTACTTAATGATAATTACAAAATAATAGCCAACACTATTGCCATAATATCTTACTAGACTCAATATCTTATTTGACATTCACATCTGCCATATGAATTAGATACAATTATTTTCCTCATTTTTCAGGTGATGAAAATGGGGCCAGAAAGCTTAAATTTCCCAAGGTCAGGCATTCAACACGTACTTAGTGAGCACCTACTATGCGACAGGCATTGTTTTCAGCATTAGTGATGAAAGCAGAAAACTTCTATCTTCAGGGAGTTTATATTCTATTAGGGAAGACAGACTATCAAAAATTAAAACAAATATATATAAAGCCAGATAATACTAAGTGTTGTTAAGAAAACTAAAGCAGAGTAAGGGACTGGAGAGAGATGGCATCTGGAGAGAGATGGCATAAGTGGCGAGGTAGCACACTCCTTAGATAAGATGGTCAGAAGAGGCCTCTCTGGGGAGATGACACTTGAGCAGAGACCTGAACGAAGTGAGGTGACAGGCTCTGTAATCATCTGGGAAAAGGGCCCAGGCAGAAGAAACGGAAACTGCAAAGGCCCAGAGGCCAATACAAACTTGGCGTGTTCAAGAACAACAAAAAGGCCAGTGTAGTCAGTGCTGTGAAAGAAAGGGCAACAGTAGAGGGTGTAGTGAGAGAAGAAACTAGGGAGTCCAGTTATGTATGGCTTTGTAAACCATTGCATAGTTTCATTTACGTTTTTCCTTAAATATAATGAAAAGGCCCTGAAAGGTTTTAATCAAGAAAGTGAAACACTGTGCCATTTGAAAAGATTACACAAGTTGGGTAGGTAAAGAAAAGACTAAAAGGGGCTGGGCATGGTGCTGTAATCCCAGCACTTTGGGAGGCCGAGGTGGGTGGATCACTTGAGGTCAGGAGTTCAAGACCAGCCTGGCCAACATGGTGAAACCCCCTTCTCTACTTAAAATACAAAACTTAGCTGGGTATGGTGGCGGGCGCCTGTAATCCCAGCTACTCAGGAGGCTGAGGCAGGAGAATCGCTTGAACCCAGGAGGCAGAAGTTGCAGTGAGCCGAGATCGTGCTGAGATCGTGCCACTGCACTCCAGCCTGGGGGACAGGGCAAGACTCTGTCTCAATGAAAAATAAAAATAAAAAAAGAATAGACTGAGAGAAGGCAGACTACTTAGGAGAATATTGCAGTAGTCCAGGTGGGAGATGAAGAGAAGTAGTCAGATCTAGGATCTACTGTGAAGATAGGGCCAAGAAGATTATCTGATGTGGGTCGTGATGCAGAGTGTAAAAAAAAGAGAGGTGTCAAGGAAGACTCTAAGACTCATATGAGTAACAGGGAGAAAAGTCTAATTATTCAGCTGAGGAACATTGTAGGTGATGGGGTCTGGGGAGAAGCAGTAAGTTTTTGGGGCAAATCAGCAGTGCCATTTTGGGTAGGTTAAGTTTGAGAGACCTTTTAGATATCCAAACGAAGAGAAGTAGGACGTTGGATACCTAAGTTTGAGGCTTGGATACATAAGTCCAAGATTCAGTCCTGGGGTTTGGATATGTAAGTCTGAGATTCAGGCCTGGGGTTTGGATATGTAAGTCTGAGATTCAGGCCTGGGGTTTGGATACATAAGTCTGAGATTAGGACTGGAGTTTGGATACATAAGTCTAACATTCAGGACTGGGGTTTGGATATGTAAGTCTGGAGATTCAGGACTGGAATTTGTATACATAAGTCTGAGATTCAGGACTGAGATTTGGATACATAAGTCTGAGATTAGGACTGGAGTTTGGATACATAAGTCTAACATTCAGGACTGGGGTTTGTATACGTAAGTCTGAGATTCAGGACTGGGGTTTGGAGACGTAAGTCTGAGATTCAGGACTGGGGTTAGGATATGTAAGTCTGAGATTCAGGCCTGGGGTTAGGATATGTAAGTCTGAGATTCAGGACGGGGGTTTATATACATAAGTCTGAGATTCAGGACTGGGGTTTATATACATAAGTCTGAGATTCAGGACTGGGGTTTATATACATAAGTCTGAGATTCAGGAATGGGGTTTGGATATGTAAGTCTGAGATTCAGGACTGGGGTTTAGATATTAATCTGAGGACTGGGGCTTGCATACATAAGTCTGAGATTCAGAACTGGGGTTTGGATATATAAGTCTGAGATTCAGGAATGGGGTTTGGATATGTAAGTCTGAGGACTGGGATTTGGATCCATAAGTCTAACATTCAGGACTGGGATTTGGATACTTAAGTCTGAGATTCAGGACTGGGGTTTGGATACATAAGTCTGAGATTCAGGACTTGGAATTCAGGTGGCTTTAAACGTGGTAGTTAGCTTTAAGCAACATATTTTCACCACAGACTGACTGAGGGTGAATAAAGGAGGGATGTCTGAGGACTGACACTCAGGACTCTCCAACATTTAAATACCAGGAAGAAGAGATGGGTCCAGTAAAGGGGGCCAAAAAAAAAAATGCCAGTGGGGTAGTAGGAAACCCAGGAGAGTGTGGTGAGAAAGACAGAAGCCAGGTGAAAAGAGTGCGTCAATGATAGAGAGATCAATTATGTCAAAGGAGCTGAGAGATGAAGAAAGAGGAAGATTGAGAACTGACCACTGGATACAGAAACATGGAGGTCACTGATGTCCTAAAGAGTGGGCTCAAGAGAAATTTATGCAAAAGCCTAAAAAGTGGGCTCAAATGAGAATGTGACTACAGGGCATTGCTGAGAGAAATTAAAGACCTAAATAAGTGGATATACCGTGTTCACGGATTAAAAGACCAAATATTGTTAAATTTTCTGTTCTCCACAAACTGATCTATAGATCCAACACAATACCAATTATAAACTCATCAAGCTTTTTTGTACAAATTAATAATCTCATTCTTAAATGTGTATAGAAATTCAAAGGATTTAGAATATCCAGAGCAACCATAAAAAAAATAAAACTAAAGTTGGAGGACT
This sequence comes from Homo sapiens, assembly GCF_000001405.40. Lineage (NCBI taxonomy): Eukaryota > Metazoa > Chordata > Mammalia > Primates > Hominidae > Homo > Homo sapiens. The sequence goes on from NC_000003.12 coordinate 171,781,043, forward strand.
TAACACTACCTGACTTCAAGACATCGTAGTAAGTCTATAGTAACCAGGACAGTGTGGTACTAGTACAGGATCAACAAATAGATCAATACAACAGGATAGAGAGCTCAGAAATAGATGCACACTTACATGGTCACTCGATTTTCATGAAGGTAAGAGAAAAATCCAATAGAGAAAAAAAATGACTTATTAACAAATGATGGTAAAAAAAAAAAACTAAATATCTATATAGCAAAAATAAATAAATCTCAACCATGACCTCACACCACACTCAAAAATTGAGATGGATCATAGACATAAATGTAAAAACTAAAATTATAAAGCTTTTAGATATGGCTTAGAAAGCAATCAACATAAAAAGAAAAAAAAACAGACTTAGCCAAAGTTCAAAATTTCTGTTCATCTAAAGTCATCATTGAAAAAATAAATAAGAAAGCCACAGCCTGGGATAAAATATGTGCAAATCATATATCTGACAAAGAACTAATATTTTATAATACATAATGAATGCCTACAATTCGATAAAAGTGAGCAAAAGATTTGACTGGACATCCACAAAGGAAGACAGACTCGTGATCACTAAGCATATGAAAAAGTGCTCCATGTTAATATTCACCAGGGAAATTTAAGAAAAACGCAATGAGGTACTGCTACATCCCCACCAGAACGAGTAAACATTAAAAAGACCGTCAAACCCAAATGCTGGCAAGGATACAGAGACAGCACAACTCTCATTCACCATGGGTCACAGTGTAAAACTACAACCAGCTTAGAAAAAAGTCTAGCCGTTGTTTATAAAACTAAATATGCACCTATCCTATGACCCAGTTATTTCATTCCAAAGTATTTATCCAAGAGAAAAGAAAACACAGCCACAAAAAAAGACTCCATTCACCATAGTCAAAATCTGGAAGCAACTCAGGCATCCACCCGTAGAAAAATGAATAAACAACCTGTTGTATCATCAAACAATGGAATGATACTCAGCAGCTCAGAAAGGAATGGATTCACTCAGAAAGGAATGAATGACTGATACACATGATATGAATACATCTCAGAAACATTACGCTGAGTGAAAGAAGCCTTACATAAAAGAGTACATACATTGTATGATTCAATTTTGTTAATCTTCTAGAAAGGCAAAAATAACATATTGTGGGAAAAAAATCAAAACAGTGGTTGCCTCTGGCAGAGCATAAGAGGGTGGTCTGGGGACTAACTGGGAAGCAACATGAGGGAACTTTCTGTGGCGATGGTCATGTTCTGTACCTTGAAAAGGGTTTGGATTGCAGAGGTGGTACATGCATTTTTCAGAACTCTGAATGGTACACTAAAGATTTGAGCATTTCAGTGTATATAAATTTTACTTCAAAAGAGAACTATAAACAAATAGGGAAGGAAATTAATCATATGTACCCTGAAATGTTTAGGAGTGAGTGTACTGATGCCTGCAACTTACTTTAAAATGTATCCAAAACATAAATTGAATTGATGAAAGGATAAAGGGATAGATGGGTGACAAGACGTATGTTCAAGCAATAAAGCAAACTATTGATTGTAGAATCTAGGTGGTGGCTTATGGGTGTTCACCTTAACATTCTTTCAACTTTCCTGCATGTTTGAAATGTTTACAAGATGTTGTTAGAAGAGAATGTGGGGTAAGGAATTGGAGACAGTGAGAACTGACAACTTATCAGAGTTTTGCTTTAAAGAGGAACAAAGATATGAGGCAAATCTGGAGGGAGATGAAGAATTAAGAGGAGGTATTTGTAAAGAAGGAAGACATTATGGAATGTTTGAATAAGAATGATCCTGTAAAAAGAGGAACTTTAATGAAGCTAGTGGGCAGAAACTATGGAAGCAGAGTTCTGAACAGGCAAGAGCAACAGATGGGGTCCACTGGGGTGCAATGGATGTCAACCAGGAGGATGCACGTTTGTCCATGGTAAAGAGCAGGGGATGGGGGACAGATGATGGATGGATGCAAGAGAATATGGGAGCTGGGAAACTGCTTCTAGTTTCCCAGTGATATAAGCAGTAAGATCCATGGCTGAAAGAGAGAGTCTGGGAAGGGATGTTAGGGGTTTGAGGAAAGAAACAAAGGTGTGAAATAGTCACCTGGGAGAGTGAGTTTACTAGGGAAGTAGGGTTGCCAGAGAGGGCTGAGTATCAGTGGAGGCAGGGGTGGAGGGTGGCGTGATTAATTTAATGTCATCAGAGTGTTGTGTGTGTGTTTTCCAGGAATGCTCCGTGGTTTGGAAGAAAGTGTAGAGTTATGCCTGAGTAACTGTGATTTTAACCAGGGTTGTGTTTTGCAGGAGACTAGGATAGAAAGAGGAGAGAGGCAAGTAGAGTAACCACAACAGTGGACCAAGCAGATAAGGTGAGTAAAGTGGAAAGTTAGACTACACAGGGCATTAATGGAAAGTAAAAAGGTGGCAGAGTCAAAGGAGTGGACGTAAAAGTGTTGATCTGAGGATATTACAAGACAGAGCATAAAAGTTGGCAGATGGTAGAGCTGGGATTTAAATCTAAATGTTTGACTCCTGTTTTTTTTATTTTATTTTATTGATTGAGATAGGGTTTGTTTGTTTGTTTGCCTGTTTATTTGTTTGTTTATTGAGACAGGGTCTTGCTCTGTCACCAAGGCTGGAGTACAGTAGTACAATCACGGTTCACTACAACCTCTGCCTCTCAGGCTCTAGTGATTTTCCCACCTCATCCTCCCGAGTAGCTGGGACTACAGGCACGCACCATCACACTCGACTAATTTTTGTAGTGATGTTTTTGTAGAGATGCAGTCTCCCTATGTTGCCCAGGCTGGTTTCAAATTCCTGGCTCAAGTGATCTGCCTGCCTTAGGCTACCAAAGTGCTGGGATTACAGGTGTGAGCCACTGCGCCCAGCCCACCCTCTTAACTGTAACACTCTCCAGCATTTTCAGGACTCTTGTCTTATACTCTCTGTGTCTGGATAGTATGTGTACCCATTTGGTCTTTTCAAGACCCAGGGGTATTATTTGACTTCATATTCTTAAAAATAACTTCTACGGAAGTGATTTTCTTTCATAGAATGGGAAATATAAGACACATAAAGAGCTGGTGTAATTTTTGAACCCTTCAACAAATTGGCTATCAGAGAAAAATGTATCCTCCTGTCTCAGCTCAACTCTTTGTGTCTTATAGTTCTCACTCCTAAAAAGCACATGTTGCTGCTTGGAACAAAACAAATACCACATTTGGAGGATTTGAAGAAACTAGTCTCAAAGTAATTATTTCAAGAGAATTTATTTTAAAAACATGTAAGCACTAAGTCACCTCATTCTCAGAAGGAAAAAAAAAAAAAAGACAGTAGCACGTGTTCAGGCATTCAGAATTTTAGAGGGACCGCTAATTGTGTATTTAAGAAACCATTTGAATAACATTTAAGTACCCAGGAAAAAAAGTCCAGATTCCCTAGCCTGACCTTCCACTATTAAAGTCCAGTCTCTTATCATTCCCCTGCACACATGCCATGTCCCAGGCAAATGAATTAGCCCCATTCTTCCCAAAGAATGTCTCATCTCTGAGCTTTTCCTCTTGCTGTTCCCTCCCCTGGATCACCACCACTGCAACCTGCCCAATCTTTCCATAGACATCCTATTTTTCTTCAAGCTCCAGCTCAAACACAGGCTCCAAGCCAGACAGTGACCACACTCCTCTAGAACCACCAAAGCTTTTTACCTGCCACACATAAGGCATCTATCACTTTGTATCTGGTATCATAGCTACCTATAGATAGCAAATATCTATAGAAACTCCCCCCTTAGAGAGAATCATCTAATATTTGAATCTGGATCTCCATATTTACCATTGTAGTGGACACCTCACACAGTGCCTGGCATATTATAGTCAATTAACAGCTAATAACATACAAATACATATTTTAGACGGAATCATAAGGAAAAGTTAAATACAGTGTTAGGTGCACCTATTTTAAGCTCGGCATTCTGTCTCTGAAGTACAGACAGAGTACTACAGGAATACTACAGTAAGTCCTGTACAGATCCAGATTTTATTGTTGTGGGATACTGCCAAAGTATCCTTTGAAATGTTTACTCCAATTTAAATGCTTGTCATAAGGTTGGAAGAGAGCCTAGATCTCAACAATTTATGTTTATGTCTTACCTCTATTCTGTTCTCTATTCCGACCGAATACGGTATGAGTTACAAAAGTGAGCCACATATATAATTTTAAATTTTCTAGTAGCCACATCAAAAGTACAATGAAATAGGTGAAAATAATTTAATGAGTTTATTTAACCTAATTTACCAAAATACTGTGTCATGTCAAAATGTGATCCACACAAAAATTATTAATGAGATATTTTACATTTCTTGTGTACTAGGAAATCCAGTGTCTATTTTTTTTTTTTTTTTTAGATGGAGTCTTGCTCCGATGCCCAGGCTGGAGTGCACTGGCATGATCTCAGCTCATGGCAATCTCCGACTCCCTGGTTCAAGCGATTCTCCTCCCTCAGCCTCCCGAGTAGCTCGCATTACAGGCACGTGCCACCACGGCAAGCTAATTTTTGTATTTTTAGTAGAGACGGGGTTTCACCATGTTGTTCAAGCTGGTCTTGAACTCCTGACCTCATGATCTGCCCGCCTTGGCCTCCCAAAGTGCTGGGATTATAGGCGTGAGCCACCACGCCCAGCCTCCAGTGTCTATTTTACACTTAGAGCACATTTCAACTTGGACTGGCCACATTTCAATTCTCAAATAACCACGTGTGGCTAGGGGACAATATACTGGACAGTACAGGTCTAGAACATCCCTGTGGGCAGAGGCTGCTTCTTTCAGCCCTGTACTCTCTACAGTGATTTACCCATTCAATGGGATTAAATGCAACAAGCATGTAAAAACCAAAGTGTTAAAGCACTAAACAGTGCTTACCACACAGGAGGGGTTCAATAACTGCCAGCTTCCTTTCCTTCACATGCAGTAGGCCCTCAATAAATGTTTCTTGGGTTGACTTTCCAAACTGGAAACAGTATTATAGGATTAAGGCCATCAGGCTCCCTTTATTCTGCTCAGCAGAATAAAGCAATCTTGTCACCTTAATGTAGGTTCGTGGCACATTTTCCTGGCAGAAGAATAATTACCCACCAATAAACTTTTCCAACTATTTGGAAATAGCAATTTCTCAGAATAAATAAACTATTATCCTGCTCTTCATCAATCCCAGTGAATCTGATTTTAAGCAAACCTGTAGGATTCATTTATCCCTGGCTGAACTAATAAAAGTGAATTTCTGAGTCCAGGAAGATAAAGAAAAGATCCAGTAAGATTGTCTTTCTAAACCAAGGAGCAGCCACCCTCAAGTCCATCTGGAAATGGCTGGTAAGACTGATTCTGCATTATAGAATCCTGTCTGCCCAGAGTCAGAGAGAAATGCAGCAATCGAGCTGTCTAAGCAGATACTTGGATATCCAAAGTATTAGAATTATTCTAATCTCAAAGAATTAGACAGAATAAAGAATTAGGAGCACTAGAATATTTTTATCATAATTGAATACTGTTTGAGGACTCAAACAGCATTTCAGAATTTCTTTTGCTCAAAGCAACATTACTGTTCGGGATGGCACCATAAAATTTGTAATTTAAACTTCCATGTCAGTTGAGCTTCTGTGTCGTTTAATTACTTACTCAAAATACAAATCAACATTTAAAGAAATATATTTTATATATAATAAATATCACAAAATATCTCATCTGACAAAACTGCAACTAGAATAGGTAACATGGGAATTTCCTTATGAATTCTTATCTCTTATGCAAACATTCTAGCCAATCAAATAGATCTTTCAATACGTGCAGTGCCTCCGTAGTGATGCCTCATGCTAACTAACTCCCTTCATCGGTAAGTTATCACTGCTTTAAACCTTCAGTCTCTGTCCATCCATTTCCTGTTAAATTCCTCCTAGATTCACTCAATTCATCCAGCCAGCCATTCATTAAACAAATATTACTGAGTTCATATCTACAGTAGAGTGCTAGGCACCCAGCACACAACAGAGAGTCAACCAAACATGGTCCCTGCCCTGGAAAGCTTACAGTTGAATTCTCTTCCCAATCAATGCCCATTCTGCTTGTCCACCTCTGGGCCCCTCTGTCTCTCAGGCTACATGCCTGTGCTGAAGTACCAACTAACAGGTAGCTGACCAGGGTTTTACCGAGTCTGTATGGTACATTAGGTGTCTGTAGGGCATGGTCATCTCTGTACAACACAGGCCTACTTTCTGGATTTGTTATGTTGGAATAGATTATCTACCCTGAGTATTTTCCCTTATTTTTGTGATCAAATTACTTTCTCTTGGCAATGCCTTCTTTTTTTTTCATTAAGTACCTGGGTGCCCCCAAGTGGATGATGGTTCTCTCACATTGCAAGAGCTGGTTGTACAAAATGCAGCACCCAAGAACTTCATGACCATATTATCAACCTAGGAGAAAAATGTTATGGATTTGTGCACCAAGAAAGGAATCTAAAATACATTTGCATATTTTATAACTCATTTGAATGTCATCATACCCAGAAAATAAAATTCAGGCCATTTTTCCCTTGTTAATATTCATGGTATGGTGTGGTATGTGTATGTGTGTTGGGGGCATGGTACAAACAAGGAAGGTTGATACAAGTTAAAGAACAGCCACCTTCTATGGAGCAGCAAGCATATTATCACTGAATTCTCATTTAGGAAAAGAAAATATTTTTTCCCTGGTAATTTAATGAAATTTAGATATTATTAGAACCAACTTGGTTTTTTTTAAGAAAAAAAAAACTAGAAAAATATTTTGTAAGAAAAAAAAAATTGTATGATTGTCAGCCTCAAGAAAAAAATTCAGCCGGGTGCAGCAGTGGCTCATGCCTATACTCCCAGCACTTTGGGAGGCTGAGGCTGGTGGATCACCTGGGATCAGGAGTTTGAGACCAGCCTGGCCAACATGGTGAAACCCCATTTCTACTAAAAATACAAAAATTAGCTGGGCATGGTGGTACACGCCTGTAATCCCAGCTGCTCCAGAGAATCACTTGAGCCCGGGAGGTTGAGGTTGCTGTGAGCTGAGATCGCGTCATTGCACTCCAGCCTTGTGACAAGAGCAAAAATCCATCTCAAAAAAAAAAAAATAATAATAAATTAACTTTTGTGTTTGTGAGTGCATCTGCACTTCTTTTTTTTTTTTTTTTTTTTTGTAAAGACTGAAAGGAGTATTTCTGGGCTGGTAAACTGATGAGATGAATGACAGAGTGAGAAACAGGCTTATCAGTTTACCAACTGCTGAAAAAACCAAGCCAGGTTCACAAGGTAACAACAATACAGAGGTGATAGAAATAAATTTTTCCTTAATGCATGGGATTCCTGGATTACTCGTATACCTGCATTCATTCAGTTAGTGCTTCAATAAACCAAGCAGTTTGCCTCTGGTTTTCTAATATCCCGTCTCTCTATTAGCTTCCCAAATAAAAACTCAAGCCAAGAGACAATATAACAACAAATAAAACAAGGTAACAAACTTTTATTACACATTTGTTGAATTGTTTAAAAACTTTTCATGTTTCCTGAACACTCATCCAGGAAAGTACTGTCAAGATGATGACGAAACTCAGTTTATTCCTGGACAAAAGAGCTTTGACACATCTGCTTGTGGTTATCTACGTTCATAAAAACACATCACTGTCATCAAAGGCTTAAGACAAAGAAAAGCATTTATTAAGTTCTGTCTATATATAGTACTTCAACTGCCAACTCTGGTAATTTGTTTGAGCTTAGATTCTCTGCGTCATGAGAGGAGTTGGTTTGCATCTGTTAATGAGACTGTTTTTTTGAACTGTATTCCTTTACTCCAATATGTATTGCATAACTACCCTGTGCTATGCACTCTGCTAGGCACTGAGAATTCGAGGATGAATAAAACAGACATTGTCCTCAAAAAGCTGGCAAACTCATGGAGGAGGCAGTCTACATGGCCCAGCCAAAAGTCTACTGTGCACAAACAAAGCTGTGCAAACACAGAGGGGAACAGAAGTAATTCAGCATGCTAAGAAAATGGTGGTCAGGGCCAACTCACCAATGCACAGGATTTTTCTATCTACAGGCAGACAAGGGAGGAAGGGCATCCTATTCAAAGAGCTCCAAAGGAGAAAAGCACATGGCACGTTCTGGAACCAAAAAGCCCTGCAGAGGGCGTGGGACAGAGATGGATGTATGTACATTGCAAGGCTGGAAATAAAGTTGAAAAAAATGCATGGCAGCCACATACAGAAGGGTCTTGAATGACACTCTAAGGCGTTTCAGATCCACTCTTGGGTGATGGGAAGTTCATGGAGGGATTTAAGCTGTAGAATAATGTAATCTAATTTATGCTTCAGAAAGATGGCTCTGTAAAACTAGGTACACGAAGTCAGCAGTATTCCTCAGATAAGAGCCCCTTTGGGCAGTGGCCAGAGTGGGAATATCTGTATACAAAAGACAAAAAAAAGGTACAAATGAGAAAAAAATATTTGTGCTATTGAAAACTTGGACATCTTTCCATTCATTTTAAAAGCAAATTTTAAGTGCTACTAACTTTGATGAGTTCACAATGGCTGATGACCCTCAAATTCTTCACTTACTCTTCACTGTCTATGACAGAGGAGAATAAAGCAGAAAACAAAACAAAACAAAATGCATTAATACCAGTTCCTGATTTTAGCCGATAATGGTAGCATCACTCACTTGCTGCCAGATATCAGAATGAAGAAATACTAACTGCTGTTTTTACCTATGTCTCTCTCTTCATGACTACTAAATAATAGTATGTGATGTGGCTGGGCTGAACCACATTGCCCAGAATTCCCCTTCTTGTAGGCTTCCACGTAGGGTCAAAGGATATTCTCTCCTAAGAGGTGGGGAAAAGAAAGGAGACAGCAACATTTTGCAGCATGCATGTACACACATGCCTTTACCTAGTTATTCAATCAAGTACTAATCTACTGCTGCTGTGAAGGGATTTTGCAGATGTAAGGTATGTAATCAGTTGATTTTAGTTAGTCAAAAGGGAGATTATCCTGAGTAGAACTGAGGTAATCAGCTGAAAGTCCTTTAAAAGAGGGCTTAGGCCCTCCCTGGATTCAGAGACTCCAAGCTTCAGCTCCACTCACAGGGATCCAGCCTGCTCATGGTCTACCTGCCTGACTGGTTGCCCTGTGGATTTCAAGCTTGTTTAGCCAGTCCCACAATTGAGGAAGCCAATTCCTTGTAATAAATCCCTTAATGCATGTAACCTACTAAGTCTGCATCTCTGGTAAACCCTGACTGATTCATGATGTTACGGTTATTACTGTTGTGAGGACACAGAGGAAGACCTCTTGGCGTGGAATCACCCAGAAAGACACTAAAGAATCTCACTCTTGTACTAGCTCTCTCCCAATCTCTTGCAATAATGGCCAGGAGAAGAGAAGATTGTGAGTTAATTTTTCAAAAAATGAGATTTATGATAATTTAGAGATGCACAGTGAGGTGTGGCTATGTTACTAAGCTCTGGCCAATGAGATGTAATTGGGAGTACTGGAATTATGAGACAGGGCCTGCAAAGGAAGCTGGCATGCTCCTCTTCCTCTATTCTCTGTCTGTAATGTAAATATGATGTTGAGAGCCCCAGCAGCCATCTCAGACAAGGGCCACATCCTGGAGGTGGCAGATTGGAGAGCTCTAGAGACTGATGACTTCTAGAGCCGTCATGCCAGCTCCCAACGGACTACTTCTGGACTGTTTATACATGAGAAATAAAGCCACTACCTGGGGGCTCTGATACTTGTAGTGAAACACAATTCCTAACTGATATAAGAATTGTTTTCTTTAGTCTTCCTATTCCCTTAGCAGTAGACTTTTACATCTAAGTTGCTACGTTATCAGGAATAGCTGTATTTAATTTCACTGCTATGTACATAGGACACATTAAGTGTTTAAGAGGATTAGAGGAGACAGCCACAGTAAAAGCTTTTTCGTATTTCTCCATGTTTCTGTGTTTTGGCAAAAGAATATGAGAACTTTTCATAGTCTGCAACAAATGCCTTCACAAAGCCACAAACTTTAATTCCCATGGAATAGAATTTCATATGGCAAGCCTGTGGTTACATCCAAATCCACTTATTCAACAGATTTGTGCTGTAAAAAAACCTCACACTAGCCTATCTCTTTAGATAGGCTCTGTCTTTTCATGTTGGAGTCATCTAATTTTCCCCAAACCAACAACCCTTGCACATGTCTGGGGTATATTTTTTTGCCGAATGCAAACCACATGGTCATTTCAAAGCCTATAATTCAGTTCAGGAGCACTGGGCTTTCTGGATGCTCGTGAACATAACCATCAAGAGTGACACACATTTCTGGCAGTCACCTTGCCAGCTCCAGCTCTATTGTGTCTCTATATCACGGTGAAAAACTGCCTGACACACTAGGCAGCTGACATGTGTAGGGAAAAAAATATCAGGCCTGTGACCAAGGGGAAAATGAAGTGATTAATATGGAAAACACAACAAGAAACATCAAACAGGAAAAAGCTGACACTTCCTATTCCTTTAGCTTCAAGTAAATGTGTTTTCTCCTCACACTGACTGTAAAAGGCTGGATCGAAGTATTGACATGATATAAACGTGTCAGATGTCTTCCTCACCTGGGGCCATTCATAATACTGAAGAGTCTTTCACTCCTTTTTTTTTGTTTTGTTTTAGAGGGAGGGAGGGAGGTGAGGTTAACGTAATCATAACCCTGAAAAGATAAACTTGGGAAACTATAAGCATAAACACAATGGGCCGAAGTGTTCCCAGTGTGAGTCACCACTGTTGTGCCCCAGCTCCTTTGTTCCTGCCATTTCCTTCCTTTCAGAGTTCCGGAACATTCCTCTCTGGCTGGCCTGGCTCCCTTTCCCAACACCATCCCTTAAACACTGGTGTTCTTCAGGCTTCTGAACTCGACCTAGTCTACCTGTAGACTGTGTCTCCTCATTCTATGTCCTCACAGGGAGGTGAGTCTCATAGATACTCATTCATACCCACAGCTTTACTACTCCCAATGCCACCATTCCTTTCTTCTCTTTCTCCTGAAGGCCCAGTGCCTAGTGAACTGTCCTACCAGTATCTATTTCATCAAGTCCCAAACTGAACATAGTCATGCTTTTCTACCTTGCATCTCAATTCCATCCTCTTTCCCTGTCTCACAGCCCAGCCACATATGCACCCTGTACCTCCGTTATTGGCCCCATCATGCACCCAGGGGCCAGTTCCATCCTCTTATCTATTCCACCTTATTTCATATACTAAGAGTAGTGGGGGCTGGGTGGCCCCAAATGAGATTCTTATATTCTGGGAATGCAGATGGATCAGGGGCCCCTGGCCATCCATCAGGCATTCAGTACCACACCAGCTGATCTGCAAGGTGAGAAGGGGGCCCTCAGACACGAAGGTCTCGCTGAGCAAACCAGGGGACAAACCAGGAGAAGGAAGAGGGCCTGTTTCCCTGCCCAGCCCCAGACTGGCTGAGGCTGATGGAGCAAGTAGCTGCAGGAAGAAGTGGAGAGGATTGTCTTTCCCCCTGCCTCTGTGAGTCACAGAGAAACACAGTAAATTTAGGCTCCTGGTGACAAAAGGAGTCAAGGACATTTCTGCAGGGCACATACCAGGTTCCAGCATCTTTCTAGAGCCCCACCCTCCCCCCAGATTTGCAAACTTGAAAAAAACAAGTCCTGGCATGTGACTCCTTTTGGCATAAATCCTCTTCAGGAGGACACCAGCTATGGCTGAGGTGGAGCCTCACACACAAAGCCCTTTGGCCCACGGTCATCAACAAGGAAGCCAAAGCGGAAGACTCCCCAAGGAAGTGGGGCTCTCAAAACACATGTGAGACAATGCCAAGATACCACCAGGAATACCTGAAGGAGACTTGCATTGAAGGTCCTACGGATCCACGTGGGAACACAAACCAGTGAAATTTGCGTGATCTCCACTGACTAGACATCATTTGAACCCTCATGCTGGCAGGGTCTGAAGACATTTCGTAATCTGTCTCCACTTTTGATCCCTACTGTAGCTCCCCTACAAAACATTTCTACAGATTGCTACCAAGGTAATCTTCTAAAATTATAACTCCAGTGGTATTCTGGGCTGGCTCATATAGGCTCCTGAGAGCAGACTGGGAAATTTTCATCAAGATTGGGAAATTTTCAGCAATTTTGTGAGTCAGTTGTTAAACACATAAATCATTAAAAATTAAAATATTAAAAATTGAAGTTACTAAAAATTAAATTATATAAACTTACAATAAATTATATTAAAGCAAAAGTTCTCCATTTATCACTTCTTTATTACTTTTCTATATTTTAATAATGTCTATTGTCTTGAGGTTACTTATGCCTATTTTATGTGTAGTGCAGTCCCCCCTTATCTGTGGTTTCATGTAACTAAAATTTCAGTTACCTGCAGTCAACCATGGTCCAAAAATATTATATCGCTACTTTTGCACTTTGTAGCCATTATTAAGTAAAATACAGTTACTTGAACATAAGCCCTATGATACTGATAAAACCACTGTTAATCTGATCACAGAGATGGCCACCGAGTGACTGGCAATGCTGGCAGGATGGAATGGAGGAGTGCAAGATTTCATCACACTACTCAGAATGGTGCACAATTTATAACATGAATTGTTTATTTCTGGCGTTTTCCACTTATGTCACACTGCCTAGGTTATTCGCCTCACTTCATCTTCACACAGGCATTTTATCATCTCACATCATCACAAGAAGGGGCTGGGAGTGGTGGCTCACGCCTATAATCGCAGCATTTTCGGAGGCCGAGGCGCATGGATAACCTGAGATCATGAGTTTGAGACCAGCCTGGCCAACATGGCAAAACCCCGTCTCTACTAAAAATATAAAAATTAGCCGGGCGTGGTGGCACACGCCTATAATCCCAGCTACTCGGGAGGCTGAGGAAGGAGAATCGCTTGAACCTGGGAGGTGGAGGTTGCGGTGAGCCGAGATCGTGCCACTGCACTCCAGCCTACACGAGGGGAGCAAGAATCCATCTCAAAAAAAAAAAAAGAAAAGTACTGTACAATAAGATATTTTGAGAGAGAGAGAAAAAGAGAGATCACATTCACATAATTTTTATTATAGTATACCATTATAACTCTTCTATTTTGTTATTAGTTATTGTTAATCTCTTACTGTACCTAATTTATATATTACATTTTATCATAGGTATGTATGTATAGGGAAAAAAATCATAGCGTGTATAGGGTTCAGTACTGTTTGAGATGTCAGGCATCCATTGGGGGTCTTGGGGCATATCCCCCTTGGATGAGGGGAGACTACTGGATGTGAAAAGACTACATAATGTTGTGTTGTGCTTCTACCGTGCATCTTTTCCCAATTCACCATAACTTGATACTGGCCATGATGAGGGTAGTTTCATACTGAAATTGACAAACACTATAATCACATCGTTTCTGTTTTGCTAATTGTCTAGGCCTTAGGAGGTGATAGAGAAAATGTTAATAAAATGCCTGGTGCTTGTAGTAGTTACATCGTGAATAAAACAAAAAACTGAGGAAATATTCCTCTAGTATTAAAAAAAAAAAGTACTGGACAATTCATAAAGAAGATGTTCCCTGAACAAGTAAAGTTTTGGGATACACCTTTGCTGCTTCACTTTCAAATTATACAATAATATAAAAAGAAAATATCAATATGTTCTTTCATCAATTGTAACCATGACTAGGCTATGGATACAAGAGTTCAAAAAAAACCAACAGAAATCTGTCTAAATCAATTAGCTATATAGATTTAATGATAAAGAGTATTTTATTACTACTTGTAATTGTGTGCAACACATCTTTTGTATCAGTACAATTTATAATAGACATATGCGCATGCACATTTTCTGGAGAGCTGGTTGTTAAACACTTACAAGCACACCATTATATCATTCTGATTAGGTGTTCCTTTGTTTAAAATCTCTCAATAGCTCCCTTCATTGGCCTCCTTTTACGGACTACTTCAAATCCTCTCAAACTTGCTTCTTATTCCTGCATTGCCATCGCAACCAGTTCCATGAAGAATTTAACCAGCTTCACACAAGTGCAAACTGACAGGCCCACTCACCCCTAGACTCCTCTGTTGCTGTTTCATGTGTCGCCCATGGGAACCTGGCAGTCATACATGTGCAATCCAGAAGTGGGGCCGCCTTTATTCAATGGGAGACAAGAAACATGGATAAAAGCTTCTCCCTTTTTTTCTCTACATAAACTGTGCTGAGTGCATTTCATAAAACTTCTCAGATAATCTCTTGGAATAAAGCAACCAGCTGCCTATAGCAATGATGCTCCAATATTGGTTCCTTGTATTACCATTGCCTCCTTCCCTAGATGACTGTCTCTGGTCTTTCACCCCTGCTCCCTGGATGCCATTCCCAATTAAACCACCTGGCACAAATCTCTGCACAAGACACCACCTATCATCATAGGGTGGGTCCAGGCTCCTTATCTTAGGAGAAATGGCCCTCTGAAACAAGGCCTCCACCTGCCATTCCTGCTTAATTTCCTAGCACATCACACCCAGTCACAAAGAACACACATACTCTTACCCATTTCTTGTGTTTTACTCATGCTATTCCCTCTGCTTAGAATTCTTCCCAAAAGGGTGTTCAGAGAGTTCTAAAACTTTGTAATTTAGTACAACCTCAATATTACAAAGGAGAAAATTGAGGCCCAGAATGGAAAGGTCTGGCCCAAGGTTTTCAATAGTTAATTTAGATAGAGCTAAACACTGTGCTACTTTTTATGGGCTTCTGCTTCTAGTCCCTAAAGTGTCCATGAATATCTCTATTCTAGTTTTGAGAGTCTACTGAATTAAATGTGTTTCCTCTTTCTACTTCCTAGGATATATGGACTTCCATTTCCCTTTAAACTATTGCTCTTTATTGTCTGAGACATTGGTCTCTCCCAAAAGAACAGATAGTAATTTACTCTTACCCAATGATTCAATCCAGTTCCCCAAACATTTGCTGTCCACTTTTTGTAAGTATTTACGATGAGTGCAGTGAAGAAGACGAAAATGAGTAAGATATGTCCCTTACCCAAAAGGAGTTTATGATCCAGTGGGAAAGACAGAGTTGTGTATAAATATCTCCATATATGGTGTGATTATTATGATGTAAGAAATAGCCAAAGAGATGTTTAAATTACCTGCTGTACTTGTTTAAAATATATACATAGAGCACATATCAAAAAAAGGTTGATATTCATAGTTTATAAAATGGGAGGAAGAGTAAGTCAACATACTAAGAAAACCATAGCAAAATGAAGAGCTGAGAAAGAAGACTATTTGCAGATGTAACTATTTCAGAGCTAATGATTGTCATGGATCAACTAATCAACAAATATACGAATGCCTGTTATACATAAGCCATTAACTTTTTGTACTACTGTGTTCTATCATATTTCAGACAACCAAAAACCCTCAAACCCTTAATTACAATTACAAAGAAACCTTTAAGAGTATCTAGTCCACTCCTCTCCTGAAGAAACCAAGGCCCAGGAGGTTCTTTTTCTTATCCATTATTTCTTCTGAGAGATCCAGCCATTACCAACACTCTTCACCAACAATTCAGACTTTGAATCCTCACTCTCCCTTGACTCTTCCCTCTCTCTCATTTTCAGGAACCAATCAACTACCAAATCTGTGGCTTCTGCTACAGATGCATCACATGACTGTATCCCTCCCATCTTCATGCTCTTCTTCAGCCTATCCTTGCTTCTGGATGGGGCTGCCTCAATAATTCCTGATTCTCCCAAAATCACTCTTTCTCTTCCTGCACCATCCGTCGCAATGCCAGAGCTGCCCTTCTTAAGCATAGCTCTGATCATGCTTTTCCTTTGCTGCCAAACTCCAAAAACCAAGAACATGTTAGTTTAACTTTCCAGCTCTCTCATTCTTAATTCCACCTGTTCATGGTTGTTCCTCCCCTCACATCACCCTTACTCTCCACCTGTGCTAGGCTATACTCCCACTCCCATATACATTCTGCACTCTCCCTCCCAACAGTAGAGTGTCATCTCCAAAATGCCCTACCTGCCAAGGCTTCGAAATCCTGCTTAACCTTTCTGCTTCCATATGGCTTCTCCGATCTGTAGTTGTTCACTCATCTATTGCCCCACCTCTCCACACCCTGTTTCCCATTGCATGTTACTTGTACTTATTTCACAGCATTTAATCTTTGAATTGTGTTTACTGATGTGTCAGCTAAACCATTAGATCAGTGACTCTCAAATTGTAGTCCCCAAACCAGCAGCATCAGCATTATCTCGGAGCTTGTTAGAATTGCAAATTCTCTGCCCAGCCCAGACCTACTGAATCAGAAACTCTAGGGTGAGGCCCAGCCCTCTGTGTTCTCCTGAGCCCTCCAGGGATTCTGGTGCACAGTAGAGTGTGAGAACCACTGCACTAGACCATGAATCCCCAGAGGGCAGTTGCTCCCAGGATAATTTCAGAGGCAAACTTAGAAGGTTGTCTTTAAAAAAAAAATACTATAGCATATTATGGACATTTTTCTTCTGAATACATATTTTTAAGTAAGCAGCTTTTGACCAAAATATATGCAAATATCCTAATAATATGAAAAAAGCTGGCATG
This sequence comes from Homo sapiens, assembly GCF_000001405.40. NCBI lineage: Eukaryota > Metazoa > Chordata > Mammalia > Primates > Hominidae > Homo > Homo sapiens. Next base: position 171,797,749 of record NC_000003.12, read on the forward strand.
TATTAATGTGAATGAAGTTTTCAAATTTCTCACTTGTTTATTTTGGGCCTCTTATTTAAAACTGACTGAAGTTGGCTAAATTCTTTGAGGGTTAATTTTTTTTTCCCTCAATCTTTAGAATTTTTTAGAGACTTATTACTCCCTAAGTGCCATTTTTCCTTGTAAGTTTCACGATGGCTGTCCTGTGAGGATAATTTTCAAACTCATTTTCCATTTTTCTATGACTCATCTGTGAAACAATAGATAACAGTTAAGTGTCACTGACCCTTAAAATGTGAAACCTAAAGAAACATTAAAGGGAAGGAAAAAATTCTCAGGCCACTGAATCCAGGTAACACCGCTACTTAAGTAAGATTGTCCTATTATATAACCAGCAATGGCAGGAAAGTGAGTCGGACAGGATCAAAGTAGACTGATTAAAATGCTGTGGGATACAGAACTAAATGATAAGGGAGTGCTCAGTGAATTACAATCACTTACACATTCTCTACTAAAGGAATTCTAAACCATTTTTGCATCACAGAGCAAAGGGTCTAGAGACCTTTCTAGGCTGGGGCTATGATACCTCCCTTGCTTCACATCAACTCTCCTACTCATCGAACATATGACCAATTTTAAATTATGGTCAAATTTTACAGACTCCTTGAGTCCTTGGCCCTAGGAAATCAGGCGTAAGGAAACTGTTGCTGTACAGAAGTCATCATATTAAGTGCTATGACTTAGAGAATATCAAGTAAATTGAGAAATAAATTCTAGGTGAAATCAGGTGACAGTGTCAATAATGGTCACTAGCATGAGAAAGAGAGAAAGACTGAGAATTGAATTTTTGTTTTGAATTTTTGGATCTTGCTTTGGTTGTGTTAAAATAATTCTAATCAATTATGTGAAGTGCTTATTATGTATGCTTAACTTGTGCTTAATTACAACAATGTCTTCTCAACATGTTCCAAATTAATATTGTTATCCTTTATTTGATTGCAACAGAAAACTCTTCAGGTCTGTCTAGCCAGGTCCCAAGGCCCAGCTCTGGACATATTACCTGACCGTCCTGAGAGCTAAGCCACACACAGGCCCAAAAGAACTTGGCCATTAGAGAGTCAGCCATGCTGGGATGGGCCTCACACTCTTTTTTAGGAGGACTGTGTCCTCAGTCAGGCATCGGAGCACAAAGGTTTCATGGGTAGCCTACCGCACACTAAGCCACTAACCAACACCTGATTTGGGGGCATCATTCTGGTCCCTTCGACCAGATTATCTGGTCTCTGAGCATAATTGTCTGCCCACAACTTTCATTTAAAAAGAGGGACTCAGGCCAGGCGCGGTGGCTCATGCCTGTAATCCCAGCACTTCGGGAGGCCGAGGCAGGTGGATCACAAGGTCAGGAGTTCAAGACCAGCCTGACCAACACGGTGAAACCCTGTCTCTACTAAAAATACAAAAATTAGCCGGGGGTGGTGGTGCGAGCCTGTAATCGCAGCTACTCAGGAGGCTAAGGCAGGAGAATTGCTTGAACCCAGGCGGTGGAGGTTGCAGTGAGCCAAGATCACACCACTGCACTCCAGCCTGGGCAACAGAACGAGACTCCGTCTAAAAAAAAAAAAAAAAAAAAAAAAAGAGGAAAAAAAAAAAAGAAGGACTTGCCTGCAACTAAAACTACTTTCTAAAGTGTTTCTGTGTTTGTGAACTAGCACAGAAGTGAAACAAGGCCACCTAAGTGTACTACTTTTCTATTTTAGACCAAAATTAATGACATACAAAAGAAAATCTATAACATTAAAGGAAGTAAAGGGAATGAAATCCTTTTAGGACATTTCCCCCTCTCTAGGAGGTACAGCATAACTCCCAAAAGTATGGGTTGTGCACAGTGACTTCTTTCCAAAGAGTACAGTGTGGAGAGGGAGGAAAAAAGTAACTTTACAATGGAAAACATTACACACACAACTTCAGTGAGGTGATCAAAGTGGACATCACCAGTGATAAGTCATGCTGATAGTATGTACCCTTGATACGATGTAATAAATATGGTATTTTACCTCTGTCCTCTCCCTCCCCAAACCCATCATCCCAATCTAATCCTGAGAAAAACATCATAAAAATCCCAACTGAGGGACATTCTACAGAATACCTAACCAGTACCCCTCAAAACTATCAAGGTCATCAAAAACAAGGAAAGTCTGAGCAACCATGATAACCAAGGGAGCCCAAGGAGACACAACTATGAAATGCAGCATGGTATCCTGGGCAAGATACTGGAATAGAAAAAGGACATGGGAGAACATCTAAATAAATACAGGTTTTACTTAATAATGCATCTATATTTGTTCATTAATTATAACAAATGTATCATATACCTATGTGAGATGTTAATAATAGAGGAAACTGTGTACTCCTTTGAAACTCGCTATAATAGCATCACAACTTTTCTGCAAATCTAAAACAAACATAATTTTTACTTCTTTATTTTTTATTTTTATTTTTTAGATGGAGTCTCGCTTTGTTGCCCAGGCTGGAGTGAAGTGGCGTGATCTCGGCTCACTGCAACCTCCGTCTCCCTGGTTCAAGCAATTGTCCTGCCTCAGCCTCCCAAGTAGCTGTGATTACAGGTGTGCACCACCACACCTGGCTAATTGTTGTATTTTTAGTAGAGATGCGGTTTCACCATGTTGGCCAGGCTGGTCTCAAACTCCTAATCTCAAGTGATCCACCCACCTTGGCCTCCCAAAGTGCTGAGATTACAGTCATGAACCACCGTGCCTGGCCCAAACATAATTTTTAAAAGGCAAATATACAATAGTATGTTTTCTAAATGAGATGCTCTGATTAAATGTGGTATTTAGAGATGCTCCAGAAGTCTGCTGTCTACATCCCTGGACCCAATCTCTACTCCAATGCCAGCCACCTGTCTTAGTCCACTCAGGCTACTGTAACAAAATACCATAGACTAGGTGGCTTATAAACAACAGAAACTTACTTCTCACAGTTCTGGGGGCTAGGAAGTCCAAGATCAAGGTGCTTGCAGATTTGGTGTCTGGTGAAGGCCTGCTTCCCCAGAGGCTGCCTTTTCACTAACCCGTCACTTAGTGAAGAGAGTCAGAGGTCCCTCTCTGGCCTCTTTTATAAAGGCACTAATCTCATTGATAAGGGCAGAGCCACCATGGCCTAATCATCTCCTAAAGGCCTCACCTCCTAATACCATCACCCCTTGGGGTGAGGATTTCAACATATGAATTTGAGGAAGACAAATATTCATACCACTGTACTGCCCTGAAACAAAGCAGTTTGAAAATCACTATCAAGGAAAATTGGAACATACAATCATTATAAAAGCCAGCCCATTTCAGGAGGCCTGGCAGGATTCTGCTGCACAATTCAGTCCTGCCTTTGGATGACTGCATTAGACTATAAGCTGTGGGGCTGGAACCACATTTTAGACTCACTAGCCTAGGCCTAGTACTGTGTTAGCACCAAAAAGACTCTGTGCTTGATAAATTCTTCAACACCATCCTGAAGAGGGGCTATTGCAAATACAGGATGAAAGCTTTCACTGCCAACTTTATTGGCCTTCCAGGCAATGGATCTGCAAAAATTACTTCACTGTCAGTCAAACCTACCCCGTGTATCTGGTGAGATCAGACAGGACGAACATATCCAACATGCGTTTCTGGCATGCCTTTCTTTTTGTTTCTTGTTTTTGTTTTGAGACGGAGTCTCGCTCTGTCACCCAGGCTGGAGTGCTATGGCACGATCTCAGCTCACTGTAACCTCCACCTCCTAGGTTCAAGCAATTCTCCTGCCTCAGCCTCCCAAGTAGCTAGGATTACAGGCACTCACCACCACACGCAGCTAATTTTTGTATTTTTAGTAGAGATGAGGTTTCACCGTGTTGGTCAGGCTGGTCTTGAACTCCTGTCCTCAAGTGATCTACCTGCCTCAGCCTTCCAAAGTGCCGGGATAACAGGCATGAGCCACTGTGCCCAGCCTATGGCCTGCCTTTCTTACAAAGTGATACACATTTCCCTAGTCCCCATGACACTACCAAAAACCACCCCGGTAGAACTCAAAAAAGGTAGGAAACAGGAGTTTCCCCAAATCAGTCTCATTTATGTTACGATACTTTCATGTTTAATCGATCCATTCTATCACAGATTATACACCCACATGACAGATGCAACTGAAACAAGTTTTTGCAAGCTCTCTGAAAACGACAGGAGGCATTCACATAGAAAGCTACAGATTTTATTTCTCATCAGTTGAGAGCAGCACTTTGTTCCAAATTGCAGTAATATCTCAGCAATGAATCATTGTCATAAAAACAGCAACATCTGTGAGGTCAGAAAAGAACAATTAGGAAAACAAATGAATCCCTTGGGAACCAGGGTTCACACTAACATCATATATTTATATAACAACTTGGAAAGGTAGTCATTCAACAAGTAGTTAGTGAGCACCTACTACATGTCAGGAAAGTCCCTACTCTCATAAAGCTTAAGTTCTTGTGTAGAAAACCCAGTAAGCAAGAAAAAGAGAAAAGAAAAAGAATTTCAGATAGTGGTGAATCCTAGCATGAAAATAACCCTAGGTGAAAGGCTGGAACAGGATCAGGTAGCAAGCAATGCAATGTGGACTGTGAAGTGAGGCAGCTTTCAATGGTCAGGGAAAAAACCTTTCCAAGGAGATAACATTTGACCATTTTGTCATTGATCCAAATGACAAAAAAGAAGGAAGCCATGCAAAGACTTAGGAGAAGTGTGCTCCAGGCAGAGGGAATAGCATGATTAAAAGGCCCTAAGATGGAACAAAGCTTGATGTGTTCTAAAAACAACCTTCCTAACAAACTCTGGAGATAGGCAACTGTAGTTCAGAAAGGTGAGAAACAAGTTGATCAAGGTTACACAGACGCTAAAGTAGAAATGAAACTTAGCACACCTGACTCCTCTGATAGTCTCCCTGCAACACGCTAGCTGCCTTCCTAGTTAGAAACCCAGGCTCCAATGAATGAGCATGAGAAATCAGGCCAATGGGGCAAAGAGTGGCCCCTGATTACCAAGTTTCACAGGATCAGAATTTGAGTTCAAACATAAAAATCGAGGCTACCATACAATGTGGCCAGGGTCCAGCAGCCCAGATGACCTGATTCTAAGCAAGGTACACAGGTGCCAGGGCTGGAGAGCAAGAGCCCACAAGAGGGGCCCAGAAGGCACATGGGGTGATCATCAAACTCCCAAGGGAACTTACAAAATACTATTTTGAGTCCCATTCCTCAAGAATCTAAATTTATTACATATGTGATAGAACCTGGAAATTTGTATTTTAAGAAGTTCCCAGGTGATTTTGTTTAGCCAGACTTTGGAACTACTGTGATGGAGAAGGAGGGAAGGCCAGCTCTTCAGGAGGTTGCAGGGAGAATTCTATCTCTACAAAAGGAAGAATCAAGGGTTAAATTGAATGCAGTTGAGACTTGTACCAGACCAGATCATAGGCACAGAGAGATAAGAACATTGCATAACTAAGCGTATTCCTTTCTCCCCAACCACATCCCCAAATTCAGAATCACTGTGACGGTTGACAGAAAAGTGCAGGAGAAATCTCTTTGGTCATAATGAGAAAGAAAGATGGGGTGGAGAAGCTCGGATATACCCCCTGGGCAAAGCCAGTGGTGTGCTGAGAAATGCTTAGCAACCAGGTCCGGGTGGAGGAGAAACCCTAACTGTAGTGTTTGCCAATTTCGATGGTGTAAATATTCCTGGAAGGCCAAGGCAGGAGGATCACTAGGTCAGGAGTTCAAGACCAGCCTGACCAACATGGTGAAAGCCTGTATCTACTAAAAATACAAAATAAGCCTGGCATGGTGGTATGCACCTGTAATCCCAGCTACTTGGGAGGCTGAGGCAGGAGAATCGCTTGGACCTGGGAGGCGGAAGTTGCAGTTAGCTGAGATAGCACCATTGCACTCCTGCCTGGACAACAAGAGTGAAATTCTGTCTCAAAAAAAGAAATTCCTATCATGGCCGCTTCCAAGTTACCAACATGATATCACTAGAACATACAGTTTGGGGAAGACGTGCAATAGTTACAGTATTTTCACCATATAGAAATAATAAACATAAATAGCATAGAGAGCAATAAATTTAGTAAAATAATTAGTAAGTCAGAGGTGTGGGTATTTATTATCTTTTAAAAATAGTTTTAACATCACAGTGATGTTAGTGCCAAAAATATACTTCATCCCCAAATTCTGTACTCCTACCTTACCTCTTACCTCTTTTTATTCCAAAGCAGGAATAATGGTGACATTTAAAAAACAATATCTAAAACATCATCTTCATTTTTTTTTCCTATTCTTAGCCCCTTTGGTTAAATTTCTCACTTTTGGGTCTGTATCTTCAGAGGACCACTGCCCTACACATCTGGAAATGTTTTTCTGCTCCAAGTCATAAATCTCCAATCCCAACCCATGGCTACCTACTCAAACTCTTTATTTCAAAGGACTCCTTCATCAGAAATTGGGCAGAAAAAGATCAATGAAGTGAGTACAGCTGTTTACCCAAAATGCCACAGACTGTCCATTCTACATCTACACATTTTATTTTTAAGAATAGTTAAATGGCACCATAGAGCAAATAAATAAGTAAAACGTTAATTATAAAGACTTATTTTCTGGAAATACCTATGTATTTTGAATAAAATGGATTACACCTTCTCCCTTCATCCATGTACCCTTTCATTCAGTTCACATCTATTGTACACTACAATGGACACTGGAGACACAAAAATGACAAAAACACAGTCTGTGACCTCAAGGACCTTGCCCTCTCACACGGAAGACAGACAATAGAAAAAATAATGGCAAATCCAGTGATTCTAATATCACACTACATATAAAATCCACCCATGGAAAGTGGCATAAACCAAACTAGACTAGACTGTTATGAAGATCCCAATCAGGGGCTAAGAGTTCCCTTGTATCTTATTGTCCACATGCTTTGTTGATTAGCAACAGTTTAAACATTAAGATCCCATCAAGATAAACCAAAGGAAAGATCATCTCCAACTGCTTATGAGATTTTGAAGGCATCATCCAGTGGTAACACACTGAGATGCAAGGCTTTTTGTAAAGAATTGACAAAGGTATTAGCTCCCTGCTTCCTATCTGTGGCCCTCTGCCAATGCCTCGTCTCTGCATTTGTTTCTCCCCTCCCTTTCTACGGCTTTCCTTTTCCCCATGTTTATTCCTATTCTCCTTCATCTAAATGTGCCATCTGTAAAAGCCTACTTTGAAAAAGATCACTGTTAAATTCTGAACCCTTATTTTCCTGTTCTTAATATAAAGTTCATAAGTTTATGGCCTCAGAAGTCTCTCTCTCTCTTTCTTAACAAAAGAACTGACTAAACTAAGTTATTTTTATTTCCATGTTGCTTTTGGCTGGTTTTCTTTTGTGCGTCAGAGGCTTCCAAAAGGTTCCCAACTCTAGATCCAAAAAGTTCAAAAAATGATTGAGTACAGAATAAAATATTGCCCTCATCCAGAGGGGAGCTGAGGGTCACGGGCATTAGGAGCAACGGGGGAAGCAATCCAGGATTCTGGAGCCCTAGGAAGCAAGACCTGCCATGACCCAGTCGGCCATAATGTGGGCCCTTATTTAGCAGATTAGCTCTAGTATGGTCATAACAATTATTAAAATATTGAAATGCTTCCCTCTGGAAATATTGCACATAACACCCAACCCCTTCCAAATACACCTGGCCTCCCAGACTCTCCCAGGATCCCTGGCCCAATCTCCTCACAATCAGGAGTTAAGGCCTGGCCCAGCAGAGGATCTCCAGGACCCTGCCCCAGTGCTTCTACCCTTTGACATACCCATGCTCCACCTTAATTTCGTTTTCCGAAAAATAAAGGACTTGAACAGATTGTCTGAGTTGCACTATAATTGCAATTATGTCAAAGAACAAGGACGAAATGGAAATAAAAAAACCTAAAAAAAAGTTTGTTAAGAGGATGGAATCACAGGTTATGTTTTTTTCTAGACAGACAGCAGTGTCAAAACTCTGGGTGCAAGCTGCCTGGGATGGATCCCCAGCTCTACCATGTGCTAGTTGTGGGATCTCACTATGCCTCAAACTGCCTCATCTATAAAATGGGCATAGGCCAGGCTCAGTGGCTCATGCCTGTGAATCCCAGCACGTTTGGAAGCCAAGGTAGGAGGACCACTTGAACCCAGAAGTCTGAAACTAGCCTGGGTGACATAGCAAGACCTCATCTCTACAAAATAAAATACAGTAAAACAAACATAAATAAATAAATTAAACGGCCATAATAAGATTACCTACTTTACAGGGTTGTTCTGAGGGTTAAATGTATTCATGTTTGTAAAATGCTTAGATGAGTGCAAGGCACAAAGTAAACACCACGTAAGTGTTTATTAAATAAATAATTCATTTTATTCTGTCGTTGTAATGTTTGCTCAATAAATTTAAAAATTAAGAAAGTTTCACAACAGAAAAAAAACACTGTGACACTATGAAACACTTACGTAACATACACTTTTGCTTAATAACCCAGCACTAAAACAGCTGGGGTCCAGATTTTACACTGCACTGTGAATTTAGGGAAACTAACACACTGGAATGTGTTCCCACTGAAGCATAAGATGCGATTTGTATGATTCTCTTTGTAATCAGAAATGTCACAGGCTTATGGGAAAGTTAGGTTTACATGTTTCTCATTTTAACCCTGCAACAACTTTTAGCCACACCCTAGCAAATACATTTTATTTTGTGGTGCTAAGACTTAAAGGATTGTAAACACAAAACCAGACCTTGCAGAGCTACAGCTTTTCTTGTGAACACAATGACTCAGCCTAACTACAAGTTTAAAGAGACATATCTTATGTGTTGGGTCCCCTAGTATCAATCTTTAGTAAACATCTGGGATGGACAGGAAATTGCTACACACTGCTTTTAGTTACTAAAAAGGCAACACTACCTGAGCTCAAGCATAGTTTAGATAGGTACTATTTGCACTGCTATAGAGGACAACACTGACAATTGTTATTTTTCTGATAGATACTCAGGAGAGGAAATGATCAATAACAATAATTCCCTTACGTGTTCCTTCCTCTTGACAGCTAAACCCCACAATACCCTTAGACACAAGTTTAAATACATCACAAGCTTATCCTCAAACAGTAATGTATTAGGTCTTTCCTGCTGTAGATAAGATTTGTTAAACAGTCTGGCTATGGCTTTTTACCTTTTCTCTTTTAAAAGTGCATTTCTCAGCTGGGTATGGTAGCTCATGCCTGTAATCCAGCACTTTGGGAAGCCGAAGTAGGAGGATTGCGGGAGCCCAGCTGTTCAAGACCAGCCCTAGCAACACAGTGAGACGCCATCTTTATAAAAATACAAACAAAACTGGCCAAGGATGGTGATGCGCACCTCTAGTTCCAGCTACTCAGAAACTGAGATGGGAGTATCACTTGAGCCTAGGAGGTCAAGGCTGTTGTGCCACTACACTCCAACCTGGGCAACAGAGTGAGACCCTGTCTCAAAAAAAAAAGTTTAAAAGGTGCATTTCTCTAAAGCTACGAGAAGGAACTCAAACCTTGCTTAGTGATAAAACTAAAGCCTGCAACACAACCATTATCATTAAAATGTTATTAAAACCCTGTAAGAAAGATGAAGAGTCTTGTGGATGGATGGTGGTGACGGTAGCACAACGATGTGAATGTATTTAATGCCACTACATGTACACTTAAAAATGGCTACAATGGTAAATTTTATGTTGTACATATTTTACCACAACAAAAGTGAAATTATAAGAGAAAAAAAATTTTTTAAAAAAACATCCTGTAAGAGAACATTTATACACTGTCGGTTGGAACGTAAATTAGTTCAGTCACTGTGGAAAGCAGTTGCAGATTTCTCAAAGAACTCAAAACGGAACTACCATTCAACCCAGCAGCCCCATTACTGGGTATATATCCAAAAGAAAATAAGTTGTTCTACCAAAAACACACACAAATTCATATGTTCACCACAGCACTAGTCACAATAGCAAAGACATGGAGTCAGCCTAGATGCCCATCAACTATGGACCGGATAAGAGAAAATGTGGTCCATATGCATCATAGAATACCATGCAGCCATAAAAAGTAACACAATCGTGTCCTTTGTAGAAACATGGATGCGGATGGAGGTCATTATCCTAAGCAAATTAATGCAGGAACAGAAAATCAAACATTGCATGTTTTCACTAATAAGTGGAAGGTAAACATTGGGTACTTATGGATATAGAGACGGCAACAATAGACACTGGGAACTACTAGACGTGGGAGGGAGGAAGGAGAGCAAAAGTTAAAAAATTATCAGGTACTATGCTCACCACCTGGGTGACGGGACCAGTTGTACCCCCAACCTCAGCTGCATGCTGTATGTCCATGTAACAAACCTGCACATGTACCCCCTGTATCTAAAATAAAATTTCAAATTATTAAAAAAAAAAAATAGGGTCGGGTGCAGTGGCTCACGCCTGTAATCCCAGCACTTTGGGAGGCCGAGGCGGGCGGATCACGAGGTCAGGAAATCGAGACCATCCTGGCTAACACGGTGAAACCCCGTCTCTACTAAAAATACAAAAAATCAACCGGGCGTGGCAGCAGGCGCCTGTTTTCCCAGCTACTCAGGAGGCTGAGGCAGGAGAATGGCGTGAACCCGGGAGGTGGAGCTTGCAGTGAGCCGAGATCGCGCCACTGCACTCCAGCCTGGGCGACAGAGCGAGACTCCGTCTCAAAAAATAATAATAATAATAATAATGACAGTCCTACTTTTCCTTTGTAACAAAAATAAAAGTTACCTATAAGAGTTAAAGGTAAATAAAATTTGTAATTTTAATTAAGAAACACTAAGTAAACATACAACTTCCAAGAAGCCGGGTTCCCCACTACCTGGTTATAAGTAAGTCTACAAACCTAAATGAGCATTGTACAGCGCTTACTATAGTTCATAATTATTCTGTCATCAGGGACAAACATTGTAAAGACACTTTTTCCTCAAAGCCTTAGCATTCAATTTTTTTTTTTTTTTTTTTTTTTTTTTGAGACAGATTCTTGCCCTGTCGCCCAGGCTGGCGTGCAATGGCTCCATCTCGGCTCACTGCAACCTCCGCCTCCCGGGTTCAAGCGATTCTCCTGCCTCAGCCTCCCGAGTGGCTGGGATTACAGGCGTGTGCCACCACGCCTGGCTAATTTTTGTATTTTTAGTAGAGGCGGGGTTTCACCATGTTGGCCAGGCTGGTCTCAAACTCCTGACCTCAGGTGATCTGCCCGCCTCAGCCTCCCAAAGTGCTGGGATTACAGGCGTGAGTCACCGCGCCCAGGCAGCACTCCAACTTTTTATATGGATTGTTAACTGTACTGGTTCTTGAGAAGCCAGACTGAGCGCTTATACAATTAGTCCAAAGATCCCCAAACAACATTTAAAGGCTGTCTACAAATTCAAGCTAAAAGACTGTGTACAAATTCATTTGTGTGTCACAAAACATTTAATACTGAAAGAGATTCTTATTCAAATAGGCAGTGTGTAAATGTGGGGTCTGTTAACAGTTCAAATTGCAGATTCCTTTCCTTCTTTAAGTTTTCATTGCACCACCACGAACTAAACCATTTAACATACCTCAGAGGTCTCTGGGTACCTAGTCTCTCAGAGGCCTTTGGAGGCCCACGAAGGCTTATCTTAACTAAAATTGGCAGGGCTGGCTGATAAAGTTAACGGAACTCCCCATTTTGGAGGCAGACTTAGTAATGGTCAAACGAAGAAACTGTTGTGGTCTGTTCTTAAAAAGCTACTAGTATTTAGTGCTTCACAGAGGAAGTAAAGAAAGCAATAATCCGAGATGAGGAGGAGCAAATACAGGCGTGGCGGTAGTTCAGGACTGAGTCTACAAGGGCGGTTCTCAAGGGCGTCACAAAATCCTATGGAAGGCTTGGAGGACGGCACTCCTGGATCTGAGCCCTACGTCCCAAACACCTTCAATCGTATTGTGAGGAAGAAGACCTTTTACACACTCCCTGCTGCTGGCCCCCGGCCCCCTCGCCCCACCTCCGAGTGGTCACATCACACGGCGGGAGCCGCGGTCAGCAGCTGTGATCACACCCCCAGGACCGTGCTCTGCGGGCTGGGCTCGAAGCCTTGGGACGCGGCACTTCCTGGTTGGTACGGGATGCCGGTCCCATCGCCCCCACCAGCCCAGTCATGCCACCGCGCACCCGAACCAAGGGCGCCCGGATGACCTGGGGACACCACACACACTGCACCCGAAGCCCTGTGGCGGCGAGGCGGTGCATCCTGCAGAGGACGCCTGGGCTTCAGCCTGAGCCTGCGCGGCTCTGCGCTCCAGGCAGCCGCCCGCGCGGCAAAAGTGCGTGCCAGAGTTGTCAGCTTTCACCCTGCAGGAATTCCACCCGAAGGCGTGCGAGGGAGGCCCTTGGGGATCGCTAGGGAGTCCGCCGCCGACTCACTCGCTGAAATCCCGTCCAAGTTGGGCGGGGAGCGGCCAGCTGCCCAGGTTGGGCGGAGGAGGGACGGAGGGCGAGGGCAGTGGAAACCCGGCTCCCACGGGCGCCCGGTGATCCGGGTCTCGGCGCGGCTCCTACCTGCAGGGCGAAGGGGCCGCTAGCACCTGCGCGTTGGCGGCGGACTCTCAGGGCTCGGGTGCCTCTGGCACAGCTGGAGCTCAGCGGGAGGGAGGGAGAGAGGGCGGGCCGGAGGGGGCTCTGCGCTGCGCGGCCGGCAGGAACTCTCCGCCCGGATTCGCCCCGGATTCGCAGGGGTGGAGCGAGGCGGTGCCAGGTCCCGGGGCGTCGCGGTGCCGGCTGGAGGCCCCAGCGGGGCAGGTCTCGCGACTGGGCCTCTGATCGCCCGCGTTCCTTGTTCTCTTTTCCCAAAGTTTCATAACTCGACCGCATCACCCTAGGGAATGCTCGCTATTAGGACCATTATCAGGTCCTCTCGAGCCGCCAAGGACCAGCCACCTTTCCCGGAGCTTTGCCTATGATATCTATTCTTCGACTACTGCGGATAGTAGCCACAACTGGTCCAACTTATAAGTAAGGAATCAGCAAATCAAACGGCTAAATAACTTGCCTGAGGTGACATAATTAAGAGACTGGAGCTTTGCTGGAGTCTTTATAAGCCTTCTTGCACCTCCTTAGGGAAGTGTTATCGCCAATTTACAGGTAAGGAAATGAAGGCTCAGAACCAGCCCGAGGTCACACAGCTTAGATGGAGGGGGACGGGAATTTGTGTCCCGATGTCTCTAAAACTGGTTATAATTCAGAAATCTTAGCATAAAATAATAAATTGGGAGCAAAACAGGGAAAAGACCCATTCCACCTATGGAACCGTTCAAACACGGCAATTTTGCTGTTTTCAGTCCACTTAGAATAAAGTCTTAAGAAAAAGAGAACCAGTTGTCATGTGGCTTGAATAGCAGCCCTTTGGGAATGTAATTTTGAATATAGGCCAGTTCCAACCTCATTACACGATATTGCATCCCGCCAAAGCCAGGGGAAGCAATGGCCTCCCCATGCACCAAACTGCTAATAACGTCAGCCACTTTAAAGCATTTAGTGGATATTACACAACTGCGACTGACCAAGTTACATAATGTCTTACTGCACACATGGCATTGCATGAAATGAAAAATATAATATACCAGTCCAAATTAGGGGAGGGGGGCCAAATTATAGTCTGGAACTCAGTTTTCCTGTAACCTACAGTTGCTCAGCCCTCCTTAGACCACATTTTTGTCTCTTGAGCACATCTTTTCCTAATGATAGAAGAGTCACACAGCCCTCACTCTTTCCTTGTTGACATAAATGATTGATGTCTTTTGAATCCTATGATACTGACAGATTTTTACAATTAAACACATGACTCTCTGAGCAGAGTATTGCCTAAGAGGAGTTTAGTAAGTTTCAGACAAGCATGTTACTGGAAGGCAGAATACCCTCTCTCCTCCCCTCTTTCTCAAGCTTTATTAGTCACAGATGGTCTGATAAGTCTTGTGCACACACGTAACTGCATTCTTACAAGCTTGTCTTTAGAAATTATAATGCTTTTGGTTGAGAAGCAGCAGTCTATAAAATTGCATCCCAAATTCTTAAGTGTCACTATGAAAACATTTGGCACTTGCCTCCAACAATAGGTCTTTCTACTAAATCTAATTAGAAATAAAATTATCAAGGCCAAGCGCAGTGGCTCACACCTGTAATCCCAACACTTTGGGAGGCCGAAGCGCGTTGATTACCTGAGGTCAGGAGCTCAAGACCAGTCTGGGCCACATGGCGAAACCCCGGCTCTACTAAAAATACAAAAATTAGCCGGAGGTGGAGGCAGGTTCCTGTAATCGAAGCTATTCGGGAGGCTGAGGCAGGAGGATTATTTGAACCTGGGAGGAGGAGGTTGCTGTGAGTTGAGATTGCACCACTGCATTCCAGCCTGGTGACACAGCAAGACTCTGTCTCAAAAAAAAAAAAGAAAGAAAGAAAGAAAGAAAATTATCTAAGTGCCCTTACAATAACTGAATTTCTGCCTCCCTGGGATAGAGGAATAAAATAGGAAATGCCATATGTTGTTTAGAGATGAACTGAAGCTTATGGACTCCCAAACATGAATTTTAGAAGTAGTATGATTTTGTATGTAATTATTTTATTTTCCTGAGAGATTTTGTGATTTTTCTTTCCAACTCTTTCATATCTTCAAAGATGTCAAGAAACAGTGACTAAGTAATCATGCTATACATTCATCTCAATATGCACTTGACATTTTTGTCAAAGTGGTATTTGAAATCCTTTTAATTGTTCTATTTTCTTCTGAGAATAAAAACATATATGTTCATTTTTATAATTTTAACATCTATATTTTAGAAAAAAAATTTTACATCTATGTTTTAGAGACCACAGAAAAACATTTTTAATTAAAATCACCTATAACTCCCACACACACACTCTCTATTAGCATTTAGTATATTTCCTTATTTTTTCTATGCCCAGAGGTTTGTTATAAAATTAACACCATGCTTTACAGAGTTTAGAATCTTCCTTATCTCACTAAGTATTTATAAATTGACTATTTTTTACTGTTATTAAACTTTCTTTAAGATATCATTTCTGTGGTTGAAGAATATTACAATCATTTATCAAATGTTTTAGGATATTTTCAGACTTTATTGCAGTTTACAAATCATGCTAGAATGAACACTACGTTGCATCATCTTTGTCAAGATCTCTACATCCTTAGGATAGATTCCTAAAAGTAGAAATACTGGATCAGCATTTAGAAACATTTTTAAGGTGCTGTGTGATGCTGCAAAAATACCCTCCAGTATTAAATATTGCCTTGCTTATAACCTGAAAATGTCACGAATCAAAATCATATCTTGTTTTAATCAACTTTTTTATAATCAGTAATGCTGAACACGATTTTTTCATGTTATTATTTGTACCATTTACTGAAAATGATCTATTCATGTCCATTACCTGTTCTTTTTCTATGGTAAATTAGTTTCTTGTTAATTTGCAATAATGCTTTCAACAGAAACAGAACTATTTTATCAAAGTGACATACAAATGGTGCTCCCCCAGATTTTCCCTTGTGGTACATTTGATACAAGCACTGCCATCCAGATCATCTAGTCATTTTGGGATACCAACATCTATCATCTTTTCTGACAGTTCCATTTTCTTATAGAAAATTACCTCTCCCCAAATAGGCATAGGCCTGGCAAGACAGCAATTTCAAGCAGTAACCTCAAAAGTGAAGGTCAGATCCTTCTTCCATATTCCCACCACCATTCCATTTACCCTATAGGCCAGGTGGACTGAATCTCAGGGGATGAGGGAGCCGGTGATCTTTGAGGTTGAGCTTATTGAACAGAGACAGAAGCGGCCCATCAGCAGCTTTACCCTGACCAGTAAAACCTAGGAAACTTTTACTTCCTAGGTTTTGTGGGTCTTTTTTTTAAATCTTTTTGTTGCTTCCTTAGTTCCTGCTGTTCTTCCACTTTGTCTTGATTCTGTGAGGCCCCGGTGCCCTTTTCCTTCAGAGAGCAAGTCTGCATTCATTATTTGTCCCCAATAATCCTCACTGACATAATCTGTATGACTTCTGTGCCCTTCAGTCCACCTGACAGTCTGTGGATTAGCAACTACTCATTTCATTCATTCATTCGCAAACATCTAATTGCTAATGTTAATTAACCAATGCACATGTTTCTCTAGAGACATGGAGTATAGAGCAAGATGTTGTATCCCCAGTTACCTGATGACATAAATCACTTCAACCACCATAACAGTGACTCACTGAAAGATCAGAACAGTGTCATTAGTGAGGCTCAAATTTTTTGTAAAAAAATGACAGTGGTTAACACCAAAAATCTCAAGAGAGAATGAGGAACACAGCAACACAGCAGATATTGCCAAGATGTGCAGAGCATTGTGTTTCTGTATCCTCATTTCAGCTTCCTGTGGCCCATTTGTATGTTTCATCATTTTTTCCAGCAACGGTCGACTTGTGAGCTGCCTAGCATGTGACTATAAAGGTCCCACACTGACGCCTACAGCTCCCCCTGCAATACCAAAGATAAGTCTTCTCAGTCACCCATAGCCAGTCCCTGTGAAGCTTTTTCATGTCCAACAAGCCCAAATGGATCCCACTCCCCCTATCTAATGACTTTTTTGAAATATTTCTGTATTTTCAATGTTTACATAACCTTTTTTTTTATACTTTAAGTTCTAGGGTACATGTGCACAACATGCAGTTTTGTTACATATGCATACATGTGCCGTGTTGGTGTGCTGCACCCATTAACTCATCATTTACATAAGGTATTTCTCCTAATGCTATCCCTCCCCCAGCCCCCCACCCCACGACAAGCTTCGGTGTGTGATATTCCCTGCCCTGGGTCCAAGTGTTCTCATTGTTCAGTTCCCACCTATGAGTGAGAACATGCGGTGTTTGGTTTTCTATCCTTGCGATAGTTTGCTCAGAATGATGGTTTCCAGCTTCATCCATGTCACTACAAAGGACATGAACTCATCCTTTTTTATGGCTGCATAGTATTCCATGATGTATATGTGCCACATTTTCTTAATCCAGTTTACCATTGATGGACATTTGGGTTGGTTCCAAGTCTTTGCTATTGTGAATAGTGCCGCAATAAACATACGTGTGCTTGTGTCTTTATAGTAGCATGATTTATAATCCTTTGGGTATATATCCAGTAATGGGATAATGTTTACATAACTTTTATAATTTTATTTGTTTTCATGGATTTGCACATTTATGCAAACTAGCATGATTAGTAAATAAGCAAACATGCAAAAAGCCATTTAAAAATGAATATTTGTTTGGAATAACACAATTACATGCCAATTGGTTGCTGCAATTATATTAAAGAACTATAAGCGCAATTGAATTCAGTTTCCAAAAAAAAAAAAAAAAATCCATAAACTCCACAAGAAATCTTTGCTCACTCCAATGTCCTGGAGAGTTTCCTCAGTGTTTTCTTTTAGTGGTTTTATAATTTGAAATCTTAGATTTCAGTCTTTAATCCATTTTGTAAATAAAATAAAATAAAATAAAATAAAGGATAATAGTAACTTACAGGTTAAGTCCATAGGGCTACTATGTTTAAAAGGATTACGAAGGGAGCCACATATATGAATAGCTTTTAATGGAAAACCAACTGTAAATGGTATGTGAGAAAAACTATCATTGGATCAAAAAAAAAGTCTTTAACCTATTTTGAGTTGATTTTTGTGTATGATGAGAAATAGGGGTTTAGTTCCATTCTTGCGCGTATGGATATCCAGTTTTTCCAGCACCACTTATTAAAGAGACTGTCTTTTCTCCAGTGGATATTCTTGGCACCTTTGTAAAAAATGAATTCACTGTAGATGTGTGGATTTGTTTCTGGGTTCTCTATTCAGTTCCATTAGTCTGTGTGTCTGTTTTTATGCCAGTACCATGCTGTTTTGGTTACTATGGCTCCATAGTATGATTTGAAGTAAGGTAATGTAATTCCTCCAGTTTCATTCTTTGTGCTTAGGATATCTTTAGCTATTCTGGGTCTTTTGTAGTTCCATATAAATTTTAGTATTGTTTTTTCTAAGCAAATGTTTTCTGTAAAATAAAAGAATAGAAATAGAAAGACTCGTTATAAATGTTGTTTAATGATTGTAAGAATGGTAAAACCTCCCAGGGTGAGAGTCAGTTGGATCCCTGCCTGTGTGCTTTCTAATCACTTAGAACCTCTGGAGAATTATAGAAGTGTTTTCTTGGCAAACATTTGCTGATAGCCAAGGGGTTTGGAAAACATTTTCATCTTCCTGCATCATTCTTCATTTTCCAGTAGAAAGGTCATCCTGTGGACACTCACACTAAACTGTTGCTGGTATCGTTTTTCACACTTGTACAATCTGTTGCCTTAAAGGTGCACTTTTAAACTCATGCCTTAGGCTAGTTTGTAAGGCCAGTCAAGACACCCTTACCCCACACCCCACATAAAGCAAAAGAATTTCTCAGAAACGTCTCAGCTTCAGTGGCCCTCAGGGTGTTCCTGGGAATCAGAACTCCCCTGTAGGAAAAAATATGTGTATGTGGAACAATCTGTTAGTTGACATGCTGACCCTGAATTACAGAACCTCTGCCCAAAAATGGGATTCTTCTATCCTTATAACAACAAAAAATCAGGCAAGAAATTTCAGAATTATAGACCCTTAACATTAAAATACATTGGAAAAGACCCTTGCCAGTCAAGAATACTGCAATTCTTTATTCATCTCCTATTCAGTGCTGGTACTTGCATAACTCCACAAGCTCCAAAACTCCTAGGATCAGATGAATTTATCATATTCAGAATTCTATGGATTTCAGAAACTATATACAATTCATATAGCATATATTATGTAATACCCCTGACGAGGTCTAGGGCTGCACCCCACAGTTAAACACCCTCATATTTCTGCAGCAAAAGATGTGAATAGGCATATCGCATGGAAAAATAGACTGTAAACAGCTTCAGATCAATTCAGATCAGGTTTTGCTGCCAAGTGAGTCACAAATAAAACTTTTGGTTTTCAGAAATTTTGGATTTTAGAATTATGAATAGGTGATCATGGACCTGAATTAAAACAGAATTGAGTAAACTCTGCAGATAAGCAAGAACTCTTTAAGAAGACTTTTCTACCACAACCAATTCATCCAGTGTCTTAGAGATCAATATTTTTTGTCAACTAATCAGAAGCATTGCATTTTTCTATTTTTAACAATTATATGTAACAAATAGATTCAAAACCCACTTGAGAGTCATTGTTGGGAAGACTTTTTAACTGAATTAGAAATGTCTATTTCCAAGCTTTTTAAAGTGAGCAGATATGAGAAGTTTTATAGATGATACGTACTTTCAGAAGTCAATCAGTTAAGAAGGAAGCACTGCAAAAGGCCTGCTTTCAGAATGCCGTCACCATAGCCTCAGTTGCCTTCAAAAGTGGAAACTCTCTAATTTGTTATTAAAGTGACACTTTTATTTTGAAGAGACAAGGCTAATTTCTTTTTAAAATTCTGCTTTACTACCATAGAATTGGCAGATACTTGTTATCATAGAAAAGACAGAATGTAAAGCACTAGTGTTTTTAGAAAATAAGAATAAGAAAATAAATTTGACAACTATGAAACATACTCTGGCATGATATAACCAGTGTTCTCATCCGTGATACAGCATGTTTTCATAATCACTCATCATCTCTGCAGAGAACAGTGAACAGTTTACTACAAATGCCTGTCTTTGATAATATTATCTATATGTGTTAGTCAGGGTTCTCCAGATAAACAGAACCAATAGGATATACAGAGAGATATATAAAATAGGAATTTACATTAGGAATTCGCTTGCACAATTGTGGAGACTGAGAAGTCCCACAGTCCCCACTCTGTAAGCTAGAGGCCCAAGAAAGCTGGTGATACCATTCCAGTCCAAGCTTGAAGGCTGAAGAACCAGGGGGAGCTAATGGGGTATGTCACAGTCCAAGTTCCAAGGCCTGAGAACAAAGAGTGCAGATGTCCTAAGGCAGGAGAAGATGAATGTCCCAGCTCAAAGAGAGTAAATTCATGTTTCCTCAGCCTTTTTGTTCTTTTGGGGAGCTCAATTGATTGTACGATGCTCAACCAAGTTGGCAAGGGTGATCTTCTTTACTCAATCTATGGATTCATATGCTAATCTCTCCCAGAAACACCCTCACTAACATATCCAAAAATAATGTTTTATCAGCTATCTGGGCATCCCCTAGTCCAATCAAGTTGACACATAAAATTAACCATCAACTACATCAACAAAATCTTACAGCAAATTTGTGCACTTCTAGCTTCAACTTCTTTGCTACAAGAACATTTTGGTTTTTTATTAAAAGCAGTGAATAAATTTATTTTTGGAGCTATCTCTGTACCCTTATCCTAGAATTCAAGTTTTATTCCAGTCAAAGCAGCTGTTCCATCAGTGCACTGAGACAGTTTTTTTTCCATAAAACATTGTTTTTATAGTGGAAATCATGTGCACTGGAAATATATTTTTCTTCTTCAATACATCGCTCTTTTTTGCTCAGTTGCTCTCAGCCCTATCAGAACAACACACCTTTTTATTTTTGCATTGTCTTCTTTGTCATCTGGAAATGAAATTAATTCCTAATTTCAAAAATACATAAAATACACTGACAATAAATAAAAGAGAAATAAGAGAAAATAAATTATAACAAAATAGAATGTCTCTTAATATGTAAAATTCTTGAAGAAACCACACTAAAGACATAATAAAGGGGTTAGATGTTTGTACTATCTATGATGAATATACTTAAGAGTATAACAGGGTCCAGGCATGGTGGCTCATGCCTGTAATCCCAGCACTTTGGGAGGCCGAGGAGGGTGGATCACTTGAGGCTAAGAGTTCAAGACCAGCCTGGCCAACATGGTGAAACCCCATCTCTACTAAAAATATAGAAGTTAGCCAGGCATGGTGACGTGCACCTGTAATCCCAGATACTTGGGAGGCTGAGGTGGCAGAATCACTTGAACCCAGGAGGCGGAGGCTGCAGTGAGCCTAGATCACACCACTGCACTCCAGCCTGGGTGACAGATCGAGACCATCTCAAAAAAAAGGAAGTATAAGAATTTTCATCTAATTATTGTCTACATTATTGCTTCTCAAATTTTTATATACATACAAGTCACCTCTGGATCTTGTGAAAATATGGATTCTGATTTCACAGGTCTAGAGTGGGACATTTCTAGCAAGTTCAGAGTGATTCCAATTCTCTGGTCCAAGGACGACATTTTGAATAGAGAGAGTCAACATCATTTCCTTATATGGACATTTGAATGTGACAGTTATAACTGTGGCCTGATAAAATTATTGCTGTCAGTGATATAACTTTCCAAATAGCCTCAAATCAATTCAGGTCTAGTTTTGCTGCCAAGCGACTTACGAACAATCAGTTCATGATTATTAAATAAGCAAGACTTGGTGGTGAGCAACTATCAGCGAAGTTCCAAACAAAGTACATTTTCTCCTCCATTTTACACTAGTTACATTCTCCCAAAATGTTGTGTATATGAGAAGAGTGCGAACAATATATTTAAGGTTTATGTATAAAACAGAGTGAGATGTGGGCTCAGAGAATTAGCAGGTTTTTCAGTTACTTGAATGTCCAGTAAGACCATTGGAAGTTTTGCAGGACAAGAGACAGTTCTTCAATGTATAAGACCATCCCATGCCTACAAGGACTTCTAGCATCCTTGGCCTCTACCCACTAAAATGCCAGTAAGTGCCTCCCAGTCACTGTATTGATCAAAGATGCCTCCCTATTTCCAGAATGTCCCAAGGATGCAGTATGCCTTCTGCTGATTGCCACTACTTGAATAAAACATAGAAATTACTTCTAATATATAATTAAAGCAAAATTTAGCACAAACCAAGACATTATAGAAACATCCATTTTTTCCTCCAGTGCTGTAGCAAGCATCCCACACTGTGTAGTTTGTCCTAACACTTGTTCCTTAAATTCTCTTTTTTTTTTTTTTTTTTTTTTTGAGACGGAGTCTCACTCTGTCACCCAGGCTGGAGTGCAGTGGCTTGATCTCGGCTCACTGCAAGCTCCACCTCCCGGGTTCACGCCATTCTCCTGCCTCAGCCTCCCGAGTAGCTGGGACTACAGGCGCCCGCCACTACGCCCGGCTAATTTTTTGTATTTTTAGTAGAGACGGGGTTTCACCAGGTTAGCCAGGATGGTCTCGATCTCCTGACCTTGTGATCCGCCCGCCTCGGCCTCCCAAAGTGCTGGGATTACAGGCGTGAGCCACCGTGCCCGGCCTCCTTAAATTCTTTTACAACATTTTTTTTATGCATCTTCCAAAGTTTTTTCCTGATGTTTGGTTACCATATTGTTTTTCTTACATTATTTTAATTATCTTTACTTCAGCAAGAAAAACTTAAGGGAGAGTGCCTGTATTCATCCAAATGTTTTATTAACTTAATTTCTTATTTTTTAAAACAAAAGTAAATTAAAATTTAATGCTTTCTACTCTGCAGAGAATTGTGAGACTAGGTTATTTTTGTTTAGTTGTACAGTTTAATATTTGCTCCTAGAAATTCTAATTTTACACATAACATACAGAAATAAATTCTAATTAGAAAGTATCTTCCATAAATTCTATTCACTTGTCTATAATGGAATAATTCCTATAGACTTGCACCTTATGAAAATAGATTGATTTGATATTAATATATAATATATACAGATGAAGAATTTTTTCTTGTAAATTTGTTAACAAATCTAGAACTTAAAAAATAGGCTAATATTTAAGTGAGATGGACTGTCATAATGAATGTTGAAATGCAATTAGGTTCAATAGATGTAAATGAGGAATATACTCATTCATTTTCTTTCATTTTTGTCCTCGGAGTTTTTTTCTCCATGTGATTCAACTGTACACCAATTAGAGCAGATGGATAATAAGCAATGACGATTTGTAGCCTTACACAAATTACATATGTATCACTAAAGTTTTGTATATAAATATTGAAAGCAACAGTGAATGAGTTAAATCTGTTGAAAGAAAGAGAACAGAAAGGCTAAATCTTCAACTCTCTAATTAAGAAACATGAACCAAAGGGAGTGGAGGAGGGTAAAAGGAGAGAAAGATAAAGAAGAAATAACTGTGTTAGGAGTAAGTTATAAATTACCTGGCTCGCTGAAGACTCTGGATAATGTCTGAACTGTGGCCCACAGGGAAGACAGAGTGACAACATTCTCCGCAAAGTCTCACTCTGGTAAAAGGGATGTGTCTAACAAATTCTTGATTTGCCTTGTTCATAACTTCCTTGCAATGAAGAAATCTGCTATTCAGGATTTAATTCTGACGCATAAGGAAGAACTGGTTGGTAAGACAGGAATAAGGAGAATCTTGGCAGAAAGTGTGTATTTTTATCTTAACATTTACAACAGCCTCAAATGGGAACCCTGAGGCTACTTACATGCAAACTCTAAACATTAGAAAAGTAGATTTCACAAAAACATTGAAAGAAATTTTGACATGATTGTGTAGTGAGAGACTCTTCAAAGGAGGTTCTTAGAGTTTCCTGTCCCTCTGAATCACATACAGACGAGGTGGAAAGAGGGACCCAAAAGCAAGGACATATTCAAAGAGTAAGAATTGTTTTAGGAAGATGGAAGCCTGGAATAATGAAAGACTCATGATAAATACTAAGTTCACATTTTAAAACTATTTGATGAAGCTATAGTTGGAGCAAGAAAAAGGAGGAAGAAGAGATGGAACCATTGCTGGGTCAGACCAGGAAAAGAGAACGCAGAATTACTTAATTGTTATGTTAGCATTGTCCCTATCAAAGGGAATAATTTTCATGCTAAACAATAGAGAATAGCCACAAGGGTTAAGTCTAAGATAAGTGAAGAATCAGATAGGAAGAGAACTCTTGGCTTCTTTAAATTCCCTTCTTTAAACACAGATGCTTGATATTCCAGGACACTAAAAACATTGTAGATGCATTTGAAGAACCCATGCTTGGTAATATCTGAGGAGCCATAGAGAATATGAGTCACCAGAAGACTGGAAATCACAATCTGTTGTTCAGGGTTTCAGAAAGAAAGCTTTAGATGTGGCTCTAGATAATACGTACTAATGAACTTTATTCAACCACAATTTATTGAACACCTAACATATGCCAAATGCTGAGCATGATTTTGGTAATACAATGATAAGAAAATTTGGTCCCTAACCCACAAGTAGTTTGCATTCTAGTGGGGGACCAAGATTAAAACATGAAAAGTTACCTTGCTGCATTAGGGGTTAATGCTGCAATGGAAACAGGAAATAGGTGTTGTAGAAGGCAGAAAGGGATGGCTTTTCTGTACTTGGGGAGGTAGGCGGGGCTTAGGTGCAGATAAAAAGACCTTTACTAGCTGATGGAAATGCTAGGAATGAGGATGGGGAGAAGGCAGAAAGAACAAGCTTTAGAAGTAGCATGGCATATCAGTGAACTTCAATTGAATCAAAGCAACATTTGTAAAGGACATGGAGCTTGCGGGTCCAGATTGAGGAAAGCCGTAACCAAGCGGCCTTGTATACATGCTACAGAATATGAGCTTGATCCTTCAAGAGAGCCGTCTTTAATCTGGGTCTATAAAGTCCCTGAAGTTGCATGTATGTATGTGAATACATCTATCCTAATGTCCTGGAGCTCACTACCCTAGATTTACAAAACAGGATCATACCTCATTCCCTAGTTTAAGCTGTCCGTCTCTTGCCTTTACCCTTAATCCCCTAGACTTGAGGCTCTGCTGCTTTTCAGACTACAGCCTCTGGCTTCTTTCACCAACAGTGATTGTCACTCCTTTCTTTACACCCTTTTGCATTGCATCAAATTGCAATTGAACCAGTCCAGCTGGCCACAGAAAAACTTGAGTTATGAGAATGAATGTCTAGAATCAAGTGGGGCTTTAAGCTGGTTGGAGCTGAAGAGATCAAAGAACTATGAGGCTGGGGCATTTAATGGATCATCCACAAGGCCACTGAAGGTACTAAAGATATAGCGAGAGTAGGCATTGTGAGTCAGACTGTAAGCCATGCTCTAAAGCCCATTCTCAAAGTGGAATATTAACCTGGACGTCAATAATTGAAAATGAGAATGGGCAAGATTGTGGTGCAGTCAGGTGGCAAAAACCTCAAAGAAGCAGGGTTTTTTACATAGGGATAGAAGGGTAGTCACTGAGAAACAAGAGTGTGAATTTAGGATTATTCCCACACTGCCTCCAGACCACATGGTATTGTTCCAGTATCCTCATGATGAAGCAGGAGCTCTCAGAGGGGTCCAGGGAACTCACCCATCCAAGGACTAGAGTAGCACTGCTCCAAGTATTGCAGAGCTGGAAGCCCAGTTTGATTTTTGAGATAGCATCAAAGGCAGAACCAAAAGCAAAAGACAGGCAAACAATCAGAACAGCTGATTTAAAGGGGCTAGAGGGAGAGGCAGGATTAAAATATTGGGTCACAGTTTGAAATAACGAATAATGGGCCAGAACAGGCATATAGTGGTGAATAGAAGAATGAGTGGTTGTATTGGGTCTGAAATTTAACATTCCATGAAATGTATTTATTGGTTCCTCTTTCACAGCCGGATTCCCCCTCAAAGCGTCTTAAGAACTACAAGCAGAGACACAAGGCCCCACCACTATTTACGACAAAAACAGAAAAAAGGAGATGAGGGGGGACAAGTAGTTCATTTTGTGTAGTGGCGTTGAGGAACCCTCAAAAAACAAAAAAACAACTTGCACAACTTTCCTAGGTTTACCAACAGATGAGCAGACAGCGGGAAATCTCATGGAGCTTCAAGGTGGAAGCTTGGAAGGCTTAAGGTTTTTAATTCTTTTATTGGACATAGTCTGACATAAAAAGCCCAGGCGAAAGTGCCTGCTGTCAGAGCCTTACTCATCCTGGAGGTGAAAGGTCTTTGTTCTTCATCCATCAGAGGAACCTCCCATCCCACCTTCTTCACACTCTGGGTCCTGCCTTGGCACATAAATTACACTTGGTATCGTACATCTGGGTCCCATTCCAGCCAACTTATTCTTAACATTTTTAGAGAATGCCCTTCGCTGTCCTCATGGGCACTTTACCAAGGTGACTTTCTTTTATATATTGTGCGAATATCTGTAACTTACCCATAAAATAATGTTTCCATAAATTTAACAAATACGTATTGTGCTGCTTTTTTTTCCTTTATAACTTTTGCATGTAAGCAAGCCAAACTCATAAACAGAAAGGTCGCAACATTTTTAAACTGAAGATGAAATCATCTTAAAGTGTTGTTGGCAAAAAGAGGGGTAAGCTTTGATGCGCTGAAGATTGAGGAACTGTGCTATCTCACGATGGCATGCTTCCAGCAGACTGCAGTGAATGGCACAGCATTGCAGGAGCACAAGCCACATGGTATTGTTCTGCAACAGGTTCAGGATGAGAAGCTTGTTTAGAGGACAAAGGAACACAGGCTCCAGAGGCGTATTGGTCGGGGTTCTCCAGGGGGACAGAACTAATACGATATATGTATGTATGACAGGGTATTTATTAGGGAGAATTGGCTCACATGATAACAAGGCAAAGTCACACAACTGGCTGTCTGCAAGCTAGGGAAGAAAGAAGCCAGTAGTAACTCAGTCCAAGTTCGAAAGCCTCAAACCAGGGAAGCCAACAGTGCAGCCTTCAGTCTGTGGCTGAAGGCCCGAGAGCCCCCAGCAAGTCACCGGTGCAAGTCCCCAGAGTCCAAAGGCTGAAGAACCTGGAGTTTGATATCCAAGGGCAGGAGGAGCAGAAGGAAGCATCCAGCATGGGAAAAAGAAGGAAGCCAGAAGACCCAGCAAGCAAGGTCATCCCACCTTTTTCCACCTGCTCTGTTCTAGCCTCTCTGGCAGCCGATTGGATGGTGCCCACCCACATTGAGGGTGGATCTTCCTCTCCTAGTCCACCGGCTGAAATGACAATCTCCTCTGGCAACACCCTCACAGACACACCCAGAAACAATACTTCACCAGCAACCTAGGCATCTTTCAATTCACTCAAGTTGACACCTAATATTAACTACCGCGAGAGGTAAAGCTCCCGCCTAAGTTAGCAAGGGGAGCTGATGAGTAAGAGGGGACAAAATACACAGCACATGCGAGGATGAGTAATTGGTGCATCCGCACTGGGGAGTAGGCTGAGAATAACTGGGAAGTTGGGCACGGTGGGAGTTAATTGGCAGGAATTGTTAATAGCTCTGAGGTGCTGTGCAGAGTTATTTCC
Organism: Homo sapiens; assembly: GCF_000001405.40. Lineage (NCBI taxonomy): Eukaryota > Metazoa > Chordata > Mammalia > Primates > Hominidae > Homo > Homo sapiens. The sequence continues at coordinate 171,825,151 of NC_000003.12, forward strand.
ATGCAGGGGCAAACTGTGGCTTCTGGTGGTATCAAAGGCCTGTGGGTGCTAGCAGGTTGTAGTGCTCTTTGCCGAGAGTGTTCCTCAACTTCCTTGCTTTTGTTTGCTCATTGTTTGTTTTTAATCCAAGTTCAGGAGAAAGGGGAGGAAGGAACTGGGCAGGAAAGGCAAATATGAAGGTGGAAAGGATTTAGGCAGAGATGCTGAGCTCATTTACATGATAAAGATCTAGGAGAGTGAGGAAAGGAGAGGAAGAAAAATGTACATAGGAATAGGATAGAGGGAAAGTGTTAAAGTGTGGGGCCAAGAGGATCCAGAGTGGTGTCAGGAGAGGGCTTGAGCCCCTTGTTGCTTGGAGTATGAATTGGATCCCACTTTACGGTCATCATGTTATGTAAATTTCAAAACTTATCTTTTCAAATGACGCTTGTGGTCAGTGCACTGTGACTGACTATGATTGTGTAAACTGAGCCGCATAGAGCCCCAGGATTTCTTGGATTTCACAATGTTGTTGGAAAAGTTACTACAGTGGGAATTCCAGATGAAGTCCGGGGAAGGCATGTGTTGTGTGTTGTTGTTTCTTTCAGTGTCATATGGGAATTAGTAAGGCTCTTCAGTGACTTCAGGAAATCTGACCTCTAAAGAGATTATTTTTCAACTTGTTGAAGAAAAGGCTTGCTTGTAATTTGTAGACACATAAAAGAAAACAAACAGAAAAATGAGATGCACAAGCAGCCAGTTTGCAAAAGAAAAAATAAAATGACAAATTAATAAATAAATAAGTAAGTGCCCCACAGGGAGTTTAGAAACATAACAATAAAGCACAATAAAATAACATTTTTTAATGTATTAAATCTAAACACTTTTTTTTCTCTTAATGATAAGACCTTTGTTAGTGAGCACAGAGTGAGGGAAAGCAGGCAGGTGTGTTCGTTGTTGGGAAGAGTTAAACATTTTTCAGGATAATTTGGCAAATACATATCAATACATTCAAACTTTTTTTCTTATCCTTTAGCCTAGAAATTCCAATTGTAGGATTTTTATCCTAAGGTAAAAATTATGGATTTATTTTAAAAATTAAGAATATTAATTCTAATGTGATCTGTAATCACAAAAAATAGAAATGACATAAAAATCTTATAATCATGTTTACCTAAATTATTGTACAACTAAATAGTAAAATACTATAAAGTTATTAAAATAATGTTTTTGAATGATAGTTACTAATGTGAAAAAAGTAACCAAAATTTAAACTTAGATTCTAAAATCAAGATGCAAAACCTGATTGGCCTGGGCCTGAGAATTGCTGTGTAAGACTAAGCAAAGTCTTCCCTTTCAATCATCTTTATGGCCACGGAGTTAGATTGACATAAAAAGCCTTCCGAGGAAAAACATTTCCGCCACATCCACATCTGGGTTCAGGTACGACAGATATGTCCAGCAGACTCATAGGGGACAAGATATATAGGACAGGAGTGGGCTTGCAGAGAAGGACTCTGGGGCCCTTGGGTGATTATATGTCACAGAGTAAATAGGAGACTGGTGAGTTGAGCTGAACTTAGCAACAGTTTCAGGCACAGCAGGGAAAGGATTTCAAATGTTTCATTCCAAGTACTTCAGAGGATTGAGGACAGTAAACACATACCCCGAAGTGGTATTAGAGGTAGACATGTGTTATTTAAGAATGCGGGGCAGGCCGGTAGCAGTGGCTCACGCCTGTAATCCCAGCACTTTGGGAGGCCGAGGCGGGCAGATCACGAGGTCAGGAGATTGAGACCATCCTGGCTAATGTGGTGAAACCTCACCTCTATTAAAAGTACAAAAAATTAGCCGGGCGTGGTGGCAGGTGCCTGTGGTCCCAGCTACTCGGGAGGCTGAGGCAAGAGAATGGTGTGAACCAGGGAGGGAGCTTGCAGTGAGCCGAGGTCGCATCACTGCACTCCAGCCTGGGGCCACAGAGCGAGACTCCATCTCAAAAAAAAAAAAAAAAAAAAAAAAAAGAGAATGCAGGGCAATCAAATTGCTTTCAAGTGGGTATTTCATCTCCATTTTAAATTCACATTTTGCATTTTAATCCGCAGTACTTCCTTAATTATTTTAATATAAAGCTAAAGTTCCTTCTCTTATCCTTACATTAAATGGATGCTCAAAAGATGCTCTGTGGGTGTCCTGGGGCATTGAGTCCCTCTGGCACATCACTGAGCACTGCCAGGATCACAGGCATCTGATTTAAGAAACACATTCTGGTGGATCTGGAAAAGTGTGTGTGTCTGAGGAGTTGTGCGTGCCTGAGGAGTTAAAGCTGTATGGGTATCAAAAGAGCAATCTAACTAGATGCTGGCTGAGCAGGCATTGAGCTGCCAGGCACCAAGTGGGCTGGAGGCATCAAGACAAAGCATTGAGAGAGGTTGATCTTTGTGGGTGCAGCCTTGGCTGGGTGGGTAAGAAGGCATTCAGTAGGTCTCTAGCTTCTGCGGGTGGTGGCAGCACCTCCCTTTGGCAGAGATAAGGCAGCTACTTTGGTAGACCCTCAGATTGACAGAAACTTAGAGACTCCCCAAAATACATACGTTGGAGGGGAGATGGCAGTGATTTTACTTGGGTCTTAAATTCATTTAATGCAGGTAAGGCTTTGTACTAAAGTTGAGTTATCTCTTCCATGATATTATTTGGGGCTATTGAAGAAAGGGCTGTATAAAGTAGGGCAAAGCCTTGGCCACAGAAGGTTATAACGCAAGACAATTTACTGGCCAGTATTGGCTGGTGGCTTCCACTGGACATCAGCAAGACTACCTGGGCAACCGCGTGGCTCCCTGGTGCAGATGACAGGTGGTAGTTGCACTGGCTGAGGCTGTGTTCTCTTTATCTTGATCTGCTCCTGGCCGTGATAACTCTAAGTCTATACCTCAGACTTCCTTGACTTCCTCTGACCTGGTTTCAAGAATAGTCACTCTTACAAATATGTATGCAAACATTTCTGTTTTAGACTTACAGTTTTTGACCTTAAAGTTCCGAGTCTTCTCACCATTTTTTCTGGTTTTGTTGTATTCATATTTTCTCAATGTTTAAGCTGGGGGAAGGGCAGGCGCGGAGTGAACAGCGGAGGGGATTTCATAAGATGTGTGTAAGGCACGACGGTAGGGATGGAGTAGGGAGGAGTGAACATAAAAAACAAGCTGAAAAGAAATGAACCAAAATGCCTACAGTCATAGGAGGTGAGATTCTGTGTGGCTTTTCTTCTTTATGCATTTGTTTTCAAAACATTTCTACAAATAGACACTTATTACTTTTATAAACAGAAAACTATTCATGAATGTTATTATTTTTCTAAGATGAGGAAGAATCACAATGAGCCAGCGAGAATTCTCTAGGAATGAGTTATCATAAACAAACCTAATATGATATTTGGATAGACCTACTGAGCTGGTAAATCAGAATAGTTACACATGGGATTTCTTATTATTTTATTATGTGAAAGCTAAATTGGTTGAATAAGCATATCCAAAAAGTGCTTATTATAATGTGCGAATATTAACGTGGAGCTATGTCTCCAGTAAATTGCCACAGGACTCTGTGCACCTTCATATAATAACGTAGATGGAAATTTTAAAGTTGTGCTTATTAAATTTGCAGATGAAAACTAAGGGAAAATATCAAAATCAAGATTCACAATGATTTAACATGAATTGGAGAGTGGGTTAAAATTACCAAGAATTTAAGCAATAATAGTGTAAAGTTTGACAAATCAACTTCACATAGATGGGATTGGGGAGATGGCTGGTTTAACGAGACTTCATGCAATAAAAGACCTGAGAGCTTCAGCTCACTGCAAGCTCAGTGGTATCTAAGAGCATGACAGCAACGCTGCTGTGATGATAGGCAGTATTAATAAGACTGTCATACCCGGAACAGAGAAGTGATATCTCCCCATTCTCTGACTAGATGACAAGCTTTATCGCTTGTGTGTATGTGCCCTTATTGGCCCAACCACATTGGGTTTGTAGGATGGGGAGGCAGGAGGAGGGTGCTGCCTCATCCCAGAGAATTTTGGACACATTCCCCAGTGCCACAGGGGCAATGCTACGGCTGATGGTGATTTTGGAGTTCATACATAACTCTGGACCCAGTACTTAGATCTGCTAATGAGTAGATAGCTTATGCAATTTCCCTACCTTGTAATTTCCTCCTCTGTGAGAGTATTTGTGAAAAAATATTGCATAAGGACTTTAAAAAAATGGTTAGAGCTAAGTTTTGTTCTGAAGTCTAGGCCAAAATTGGATTTGAGATTGATGGATAGAAGAGGTTTTCTACTTTCATTTGCTAAAACCATGAACTTGGATTTGATCCTGGAAGGAGAAAATGTTTTTTGCAATGATATCTATCAGGAGCTTGCTGGTTGGACTGATTGCTATTGATTGACTGCTTACCAAATGTTTTTAAGATGACCTCTAGATATGCTCTCTGGTTTAGTCATCTCATTATAAAATTTGCAGAGTATTAGCTATGAGTGATTATAATCAAATAGACAATAAATTTCTTACAGTCAGGAAACATATGCCTTTTAGGATTTTCATTTCTAGTCCCTCCCTTCCTCCCTCCCTCCCTTCCTCCCTTCCTTCCTTCCTTCCTTTCTTCCTTTCTTCTTTCTTTCTGCAGTGTCAAATAGTGCTAAGCACAATGTAGTAGATGACTGATTGATAGTGATAGTCCCAATCTTTACATAACTGAGGGCCCCCAGGTCAGGCTAAACTATTGCAAATTCAGACAAGACTAAGGAGGTTCTACAGTCAGCTGTATTTGCATGAAGCTGAGAGTCCACTGGGGAAGAAAAATCCTCCCACAGAAGGAAAGTCAAGGCCAGTAGCTGGGTCCAAAGATAATGGGATAGACCATACTGTGACCATCTGCCAAGGACAAGCAACAGCAGGAATCACTGCAGCAGCTGCAGAAGGCATGGGGCCCAGGGCCACCTGGAGGCAGCTGGAGGAAATGAGTGTGGGAGCCTGTGCTGCCCGAAGAGCAGGCTCCTGAGGGAGACATCTCCTGGAACATTCGAGCTGGGACAGAGTCCCGCGGTCCTGCAGCCAGGGTGAAGTAAAGGAAAATAGTGTGGCCTAGAGCACCAGGGTTCTCGTGTGTTTTAAACTATTTTGAAAAACAGTTAGAAGAGAAAACTGGTGTACATCCTTCAAAGGGCACACTCCCGTATCTTTCCTCATGAGGAAAAGCTGGTAAAAGTAATACCTCCTCTGTGCTTTCAGAGTGTCTACTGTTGACAAACACCATGTTTAGGTTAGAAAGAGTCTACTGATTTTTCATTCCAGAGTTACACTCATATGTTAAAAATAAAGGCTTTTATTCACTAAATTTGCACCAAAAATTATACAAATCTTTCTTCTAAGAAAACAGAGCATAAGGTTTTCCTAACTGAAATAATTATGTTTTTCAAAAACCAACTATAGAAATTATTCCTCACCACATGTTCTCACTCATATGTGGAAGCTAAAAAAAGTTGATCTCATAGAAGTAGAAAGTAGAACAGAGGATACTAGAGGCTGGGAAGGATGGGGGATGGGGGAGGGAATAGGGAGAGGCTTATTAAAGGATGCAGTATTATAGCTAGAGAGGAGGAATAAGTTCCAGTGTTCTATACCACTACAGAATAACTCTGGTTAACAATAATAGATTATATATTTTTAAATAGTTAGAAAGAAGATATTGAATGTTCCCAATATAAAGAAATGATGTTTGAGATGATGATTACGCAAATTAACCTGATATGATCACAATAGATTTTACATTTTGAAACACCACTATGTTTCCCATAAAAATGTACAATAATTATATGTCGATTTTTCAAAATGGCATTAAATCTATGTTGTAAATGCTTCTCAGATTTGATCAATGTGTATGTGCTCTTTGAAATGTCTTTAATTAAAAAAAAAAAAAAAGGGCCGGGCGCAGTGGCTCACACCTGTAATCCCAGCACTTTGGGAGGCCGAGGTGGGCAGATCACGAGGTCAGGAGATCAAGACCATCCTGGCCAACATGGTGAAAACCCCCTCTCTACTAAAAATACAAAAAAAAAAAAAATTTAGCCAGGCGTGTTGGCATATGCCTGTAGTCCCAGCTACTCAGGAGGCTGAGACAGGAGAATTACTCGAACCTGGGAGGCAGAGGTTGCAGTGAGCCAAGATCGCGCCACGGCACTCCAGGGCAACAGCGCGAGACTCTGTCTCAAAAAAAAAAAAAAAGAAAGAAAAAGAAAAAGAAAAGATTGTCTTCTCTAGCCCAGAATTAACAAGAAAAACTTAAAAAGTTTTTCTGAGAATTTTTATTATTATTAATACATAAAATGAACTCTTCACAGTGTTTGTGGCTTCATTGGTCATAAGCAAGCATTTATAGTACTTTAATAATGCTAGATTTTAATATGCTTTTTAGAAGCACCTTGTAATCATATGGTCTGCCCTCATTACTATATTTCTTGATTGGTGAATATTGCGTCTGTACGTCAGTGAGCAATCCTCAGTTTTCAGCTCAGGCGAGCTCCGACCCTGTTGTAGGTATTAAAAGCCTTTGAGTTATCATTGGCCTTAAAGTGCATATAGTTGAGTTTTATAATTTTTTTCTAGTTGTTGTTTTTTTCCTATATGGAGGAAAGAGGAACAAAGGTAAATTGTAGGTGGCCTGAAGTGGATGTCTTCTGAGGATCACAACTTGTATTAAACGGGCATAGCCTGACCTTTGTTACACACAACATGGTCCATTTCCATATTTACAAAATGTGTTTTTAGGAAACATAGTATAATAAAATATGAAATGAGGCAAAAGGGTAGGAATTTGGCTTTCATTTTGCTTTTGGTAGGGAGCTTTTGTCTCAATCTTGGAACAAACTGAAAAACAGGAGTAGTACTTTAACTACATATTTAACTACATATTTAAAAGCATATTTTAATGCTGGAAGTAATGATTAAGCAAGAGCAGGACCCAGATTGATTCGCCTCTTTGGAATTACGTGAATGAAATTTGCTTGGAGGATAAAAGGGGATGGAAAAGATTAGTGGATGACACTAGAAAGGTTTTTTTTTTTAATATAACTTCGGTTAATTGAGTATTAGGAAAAACAAAGGGCAAACATTTGATAATTTATGTATGCATGTCTGTGTGTGTGTGTAAATGGTAAGTCTATTTTCACAGCTCTTACTATTTCTTACCCCCTATACACGTGCCCATAGACTTGCCTGTAAATGATCTGTGTAGGTTTCACCAAAGATGGCAGAAATGTCTTCTTCAGTGTGCTTTCTACACTGTTTCTTACCTTCCTGCCTTTCTGTCATTTACTAAACATTTATTTCCAAACTGGGTTCTTTAAAAAATTACTTCCCTCCTCTACTTTATAGGAAACAGACAATTCACTTGTCATATAAGCACCTCTTACACCAAGTTTACAAGAACATGGATTAGAGTTTTGAGCACTTTTGAAAAGTTTACCATTTTTGATACAGAGCATAACAAAAGAAGGGCAAAAGCTGGGCATGGTGGCTCACGCCTGTAATCCCAGCACTTTGGGAGGCCAAGGTGGCCAGATCATCTGAGGCCAGGAGTTCAAGACCAGCCTGGCCAACATGGTGAAACCCCGTCTCTACTAAAAACACAAACATTAGTTGGGTGTGGTGGCACATGCCTGTAATCCCAGCTACTTGGGAGGCTGAGGCAGGAGAATCGGTTGAACCTAAGAGGTGGAAGGTTGCAGTGAGCCGAGATCACGTCACTGCACTCCAGCCTGGGAGATAGAGTGAGACTCTGTCTCAAAAAAAAAGAAGAGCAAAAATAATGGTGGATACTACTTTACATTATCATCGAGGCTCTGAGTGATGGGGAAAGGAGGACCTATATGGCGAAAGAATATACAGTTCACTCTGTTTTCAAATATCTTAAATATCTTAAGTGAATATGGTATAAAAACCACAAAGCATAGTTTTATCCTCAAAGGACATAAAGGAAATAAAATCTTCAGAAAAGAAGGGCTGTGTTTGTGCTGGGGAGAGAGTTGGGAAGAACACGTTGTGAAAAAAAAAAAAAAAAGGAATACTTCAGCCAAGTACTTCGTTCTTTTAGCCTGAGGCCAAAACTATAAAAATTAGAAGAAACCCTCGCTTTAGGACTAGAATGAAGTGTTTATATTATAGATCCTGGTAGCTAATTCTGCAGGAACATTACTCTAAGCTCCATAAGGTGATGAAGATGCTGCCACTCTGGTCTTCAGTCTTCCACTTTTCTTTCCAGTAAAAACTTAGGACTGTTATTAGCATCATTACTTGATCATTATTGTTACAAATAGTTACTAATAAATAACCAAAACTAAAAAACATATTTAGAAGCAATACACTAGACATTGTTTTGTTACATATATTCAGAAGATTTTAAACTCAGCACTAGATGATGCTAACAAAAGTGACTTGTAGAATTTGAACAATTGTGCTGAGCTTATGCCAAATTTATCCAAATTTAATGAACCAAGTAATGATATTGAGGACTCACATGTAATAGGGGAATTTTTTATCCTTTAAAACCTAAAGGTGAAATGAAAATTTGCCCTCTTCCTAAACTATGAGTTTCTTGGGGCATCACTTATTTATCCCAAAAATTTGGTATTACCACTCAAATTTTGAACAACTGAACTAATCTAAATCATGACTCATCTGTCACTAGATGGGGTTAAAGCATTTTCATCCTCTGTTACCATGGGGAGAGAAAGGTTCTGGATGACTATCCTTTCTCCCACTCAGCATGTGTGGGATTATTAAACCCCAAATAGAACACTGCTAAATGTTTTTTCATATTTTGTTTTTCTATAAACAAACTTTATCTGTGGCCTTGTAGCAGTTAGTCAGTTCCAGGAAACGCACAGCTAACAATGTCATTCCCCCTGTATTGCGCATAATATAAAAAGAGTTTAAGTAAATATTTGAATTAGGACAATTTGAAAAATTTAACTTTGGAGTTCCCTAGCATTTATTGACCACTTCTTTTCAGGATAGCTATTTCAGCTGATTAAACATGTCATACCTGTGCCATTTAAATGAAGCTAGTTCAATGTAACATACTATATAGTAGCAGAGTACGATTTTAGAAACTCAGCATTTGCAAAAGGGAACTCAAATTAGAAGGTTAAGCTCCTGTTGGGTATCAAAGAGAAGCTGGTCTATAAATAGCAGTATAGCAACACCTAGTGCTAAACACAGATATAGCAGAAAGATAATCAGTCACAACAGCCTTATTCAATATTAGGTTAATATTGCAATTGGATGACTTTTTTCTTGGTATTTTAACTGGAATTCTTTTGTGAAATGGCAGACTTGGACTGGCTGGTCTCAAAGGTCCTTGCTGGCTCTGCCTGTGATACTCCAGTTGGGTTATTACTCTGTGCCTTTCATTGTCATTGCCCTACATTCTTTTTAGTCTGTAAGATAAAGGGGTCTTGCAGAGGCCTAGCTTTTATCTTTTATGTCAATCTGCGCTGTGTGGATTGTGTGGAAGAAATGGAAGGGCTTACGTACTAGGAAAATGTGATGTGGAAGTCCCACAAACATCCGTTTCTCGTATCGTGCCACTTTAAGAAAAATAAAAACAAAAACAAAGGCAGGATATCTGGGTTGTTGAAAAGAGAAAATAAATTGTGAGCCTTTCGATACAAAACTGATACCCTCAATCTGCCTTCAGTAGGTGATGTTTAGAGTGTGTGACCTGGCTCCTTATGTCATACGGATGCACTTAGTCGTTCAATTTTCCTGTTTTAGAAAAGACCACATTATCGTCATATGAAACTACAATAGAAACATGAGTTTGCATAGCCAAATTTTTCCAAGTTAAAATGTTAATATCAGTATCTTACTTTTCTACACAATTAGGGGAAAGTATTACCTATGCAAAGAGGTCTGCTGAAAGAGAGAAAAGATTTTAATATGTAGAGATATTAATACATAAAACCACAGGCCAAGCAAAAGATCTATTAAATTAGATAGGTCATCATGAACAGCAACTACTTTAAAAGTCAGCAGTGGATTTAAAAGGTGTTTGTCAGAGCTTTTTCCCAGAGGCAGAAGTTCTTGCCGGACTTCAGGCAGTTAGTCTGCGATGTTGCATCTTCCTCTATTTAACGCAGAGTCATGTGTCAATGTGTCGTGTGCTGACATAGCAAGCCCAAAATAATCTCAGCCATGGGTCACTTCAGTGCAGCTCTCCCATGTATCTACATACAACGCATGTAAATTCACAATGCAGTTTCCAGGTGAGCTAACCTGGAAGATCTTCTTTGTATTTCAGTGTGGATTTTCATAAAGAAGAGGGCTGGAGCAGTTTAAGACCAAAATATTAAATATCGCTTGTTTCTGAGGGAAGGCCTGAGAAGCTAGCTTTCACAGCAAACTGGTCTGTATAAACTAGCAATTGTAGCCTTCGTGCAGTGGCTCATGCCTGTAGCCCCAGCACTTTAGGATGCTGACATAGTAGGATCACTGGAAGCCAGGAGTTCAAGACCAGCCTGGGCACATAGCAAGATCCCATCTATACAAAAAATAAAACTCAAAAAAATTAAAACTAAGTAAACTAACAACTGTGATGATAAGCAGTGGTTTCATTCATTCACTCTCATCCATTCATTCATTCATTAGTTCATTGACTCAACAATACTTTCTGTGCATCTACTATAGACCACAGGCATTGTTTTTGGCTCTGGGATACAGTGGTGAATAAAACAAAGTCCTTGCCTTCATGAAGCTGTTATTCTAATTGGGAAGACACACAGTAAAGACATAAGCCAAGAGCTATGAAGAATAAAGTCAGGTGGTAACGAGGCCATGAAGATCCATAAAGCCAGATAAAGGGATGGAGAGGGGGAGATTGGTAAGGGAAAATCTTTGAGCAGAGATGTGGATGAAGTTGAGACAGTGAACCAAATTGTTTGTACCAACCTTAGCTCACTTTGCTTTTCTACATGTGTTGAAATATACAGAAAATTGAGGCTCATGATATTTTTAACATTGCTTAGAAAACACAGAGCCAGGCACAGTGGCTCACGCCTGTAATCTCAGCACTTTGGGAGGCTGAGGCAGGCGGATCATGAGGTCAGGAGTTTGAGACCAGCCTGACCAACATGGTGAAACCCCATCTCTACTAAAAATACAAAAATTAGTCAGGTGTGGTGTTGCGCACCTGTAATCCCAACTACTCGGGAGGATGAGGCGGCAGGATCACCTGAACCTGGGAGGTGGAGGTTGCAGTGAGCCGAGATCACGCCACTGCACTCCAGCCTGGGTGACAAAGCAAGACTCCATCTCAAAAAAAAAAAAAAAAAAAGAAAAAGGAAAAGAAAGAAAAGAAAAGACAGAGAAAGAACTTTGTTTCATGATCAATCAGAAACTGGTTTACAGAGATATCCTCTGTCTAGTGTTGGCCAGTAGATGGGGATTTGCCTTTTAGGTCTCTGCTACACCAGATCCTTGTTGAATTCTCATTTCTCCATTCCATGTGTACCATAAACTCCATACCTACAAGTGTTACCAGTTTTTCCCCCAGTTTTTCATCCCTTTCCAAGAAGATGGGAAACAAGAGTGATACGACTTTATGTTCCATTGTCCCTTGGCCATCTTGGCATCTGCTGTGTTTGTTGGCCAGTTTTAATTATTTTATGACACAGACAACAGGAGCTGGGCTATGGTCACCAATTTGTTACTCACAGCCTGCTAATTACTTAGCTGGTAGATGCTGGCTCCCAGTTATTGCCTTTTTGTGTTCTGCTGGGGCCAAAGTGAGGCCTCCTTAGAGGAATACTGTCTGAAATCTCTTGAGCAAGAATTCAGCTGGCCAAATCACAGTGTGTGCAGTGCTTATTATGTGCCCACAGCTTGTACCAGATAGAGGGGAACACAAGTTGGCATGTCGACTCTAACAGATAAAGTCTCTTTGGGACAGGCAATCTGGTCACATAGGTATTTTTGCTCCTTTGGGATTTATTTTAAGTCACGGAATGGTAGAGACAGAAGGAGTCTTGGAAATTATCCAGTCCAACCTCCACATTTTGCTGAGAAGGACCGAGATTACGGGAGGCTTAAATTTACTCCAGGTCATACAGCCCTAGTTTCTTTCTATTGCAGCAGGTTGTTCCTTGTCCTATTCGGGAACCTTGCATATGACAACCATTCCAGTCCATCTCCACATCAATGGCAACAGCCCACTCATACAGCACTGGAAAACAGAAAACTATGCACAGAAACACTCTAGATAGATATTCTGGGACTTTTATATCAATGCACAGAAACAAACCTTTGCCTTTGCTTTTAGCTCTCTCCTCTGGTCTAATTTTTTTTAAAAGAGAAAGTAAAGAATCTCTTTATTCCATTCTTTTTTCTGTATAACTAGGAGCAGAATCAGCAGTTCTGATCAAGCCTCCTTGGTGTAAGTAAACACAGCATCATCCCATTCTTCTTATGTCCTCAGTTTGAGTACAGCCTTATAGGTTTTTGTATACTTCGTGGTAAATTTCACAGATGCATGTATATTTTTTAAAAAGACATAGTACACCAAATACTGATCTAGTGGAGAAAAGTAAAAATTACAAAATTTAGAATCAAGCATTTATAGGTTCAAAAGCAGGATTTGACACTTAATAATTGTGTCACCTTCATTTAACATTTCAGAACCTCAGTTTCACCATCTGTACAATGGGACTAATAATAGTAACTGTTGAGGGCTTTAGCAATGCACCTTCATCATTCCTCTCTCCCTTTTGCCTCTTACATGGGTATAACTGGGTCAAAAACTGTGCTTAGTTTCTCATGGATCAATTTGGTTCTTTTCTTTTTCAAAAATGCCAAGAGAAGAAACTAAGGGAATATACATTCCTTGTTTAAGAAGACTTAAAAGTTCATCCCTAAAAGCAATTTTTAAAACAAGCATCATCTAAGAATGTTTTAGAATACTCAGTTTCTCTTTTCTCATTCTACTTCTTTGCCCTTTTCCTCTATTTATTTCCCTGTTGTCCTCCCTACAAACAGCTTTTGTAAAATGTACATGAATGGCCCAAGGCTTCCATCGTTCCTCTGTCCCTGAATCAACTCTGTCCAGACCCGAGCTTTGGATCTGTGAGTGACGCAAGAAGCTGTTTTTGGCTTCAGGAATGTTTTCCTCTACATTCTGACTCCTCTCTTGTTGTTCTTCTTTCCTCTCCATCTTTTCTCCACCTCTCTTCCCCAGACACCCCCACTGTTTCTCTCTTCCTGTTTTCTTAGTTTCTTTTCCTCTCCTTGGTGGCCAAAGCACCAATCAATCACAGCTGTGGTCACAATTACAGTTCTGTCCGTGACTCCTCTATCTCCATGATAAAACAAGACAGGAGTAGCCTCTCCAAAAGGCAGACAATATCCACAGTAGCCTGTGGGAGGCTGCCTGGCGTGGACAAGTCAGCCAATAAGAGGTTTTCCTTGCAGCTGCAAGGCTTGGGAGAGTGAAACGACAGCTAGCTGTGCAAGTTTGCTGGTGACACAATGAAGTGTTTTGCTTCAAAAACCATGGGAAAATTCTGATACATTCCAGATAATTTCAAAACATATTTGCGGGTCAGATATACCAAAGGCAAATAAAAATCTGAGTTAGGTAAGCACAGGCTGATGTACAAATCTATTTAGATCCAAACATCTTGCAGATTGGATGACATTAAATTTGACAATTCCCAGTTAGGGATGATAAAAATTGAACTTTGTTCTCTTTAAACCCCAAGCCATTACAAGAAGAGCGGGTTCACTCGAAGTTGAAGTTGAATAGCTAGTAAAAAGCAAAGGGAAGTGTGCATTATGGATGAACATTGGAAAGATTTTAAATCCAGTTAAGAAACTGGACTATTTGGAAAGACACAAAAGTATATTTAAAAATACCTATATTGTGTTTGCACGGGAGGCGCACCTTCACAGTCTAACCTAATACACCTGTCCCATCATTCCGATTCTAGGAAGACAGATTCTGCTTGGTGCTGCACAGGGGAAAAGCAGCTTTTGCCTTGCATTTCCTGCACATCCCAGATTCATCAATATCATGAGGGTTATTGAGCCAGCATGGCCATATGCCTGAGCAAAACTCACGCCTTTTATTTCATGCAGTTAATACAGCTAAATCTTGTTTTTTCTTGTCTCAGCTTTTACCTTGACATTTCCAAACCTACAAAAAATGTCTCACACCTGTAATCCCAGCACTTTAGGGGGCTGAGGCTGGAGGATCACTTGAGGCCACGAGTTCAAGGCTAGCCTGAGCAACATAGCAAGATCCTATCTCTACAGAAAAAAAAAACATTAAAAAGCATTAACCAGGTGTGGCATGGCCCTATTGTCCCAGCTATTCAGGAGGATGAGGCAGGAGGATTGCTTGAGCCCAGGAGTTCAAGGTTATAGTGAGCTATGATTGTACCACTGCACTCCAGCTTGGGTGACAGAGCAAGGCACTGTGTCTAAAAAATTAAAATTACAAATTAAAACAAAATTAAACCTACAAAAATCCTGAAAAAAATTGTAAAGAGCACTAACATCACCCAGTTTCACCAATGGGACATTCTCTTATATAAATATAATGCCAATCATCCTTCCAAGGTACTTAACATTGATACTCTAGTATTATCTAAAATAAACTCCATACTTAAACTTCCTCAATTGTCCCTGCAGCTTTTTAAATGTCTTTTATGACTTGAATAATTTTGAAGAGTCCAAGCCAGTGTTTTGCAAAATGTCCCTATAATCTGGATTTATCTAATTGCTTCTTTATAATTAGATTCAGGTTAAAATATTTTTGCCAAAAATACTACACAGAAGATGGCGTGTGCTTGCATTGTATTGTATCAGGAGACAATGATGTCTGTTTGTCTTGTTTTGGGTGATGTAAAGTTTGATCACTTGGTTGAGGTGGCTGCCATATTTCTACTTGGTAGAAATATTCTTTTGCATTGTAATTTTTTTCTCCGTTTATCCAAAGGTTTTAACATCTATTGATGATCTTTGCTTTATTGCACTGATATTAACCGAGTGTTAATTTTTCTAATTTTTTCATTCCTTTTGTATGCATTAGATAGAATATTCAATATCTGGGTCTTTCTGACACCAAAGCTCATACTCTTTCTAGGACACGAGCTACCTTTTTAATACATAAACAAATAAAGCTAGTCATCTGAAGCTGCTAGGAAAAGAAAACATTTTAATTTCATCTCTCGTTTGGAGCTGCATTATCTTTTAACTTGGCAAAAATGAACTCCTTCCATAGCTTTGAAACCTACTTTAAAAATCCCAAGACTATAGCCCCCACAGAGCTGTTATTTTTAAGGCTCACATGTGAAGGAATGTATTTTAAAGAGGTAGAGAATGTTCATATCAGGTTCCCTCTCTCCGCATCACTGATGTTCTTCCACTTCTTTGAGTGTCTAATTTTGCTTGACTGATTTATTGATTGATGATTTCTTGTGTTTGGTGTGGAGGGGGGAACATTGGAATAAAAATGTCAATTTGGGCTTTCTGTTTGTTTTCAGTGGCAAAACTGGCTTGAAGTGTTTGGTGAAGCTACCGCCTTTTTCCCTGAGCCAAGATCCTGGGATCCCCTGGGTTGAGGAGAAGGTGGAGTCTGCAAAGCAGCCTACAGCGACCTTGACACCACCACCTCCTAGGAGAACTTGCAGGCCCAACTTGCAGTCAGTTAGTGCCACGTGGGATGACTAGAGGGAGCAGGGGCCCTATAAACCTTGCTGGCTGCCAGGACATGGGCACACAGACACGGCTGATCAGAGAGGAAGCCCAAGACAGAAGCAGTGACACTTTCTTTTCTTTCCTAGTAGCTGCTCTCACTGAAAATGTCCTTTTTTTAATGAAATTAGTGGGACTAGATTCCTGCGGGAAAACACACAGAGAGAAACCCTATTCTACCTCTCTTCCTTCTCTTTGTTATATTAAGTGGCAACAGCTCCTCTAATCACTAATAAATTCAGGTTTATAAGTCACAATAGCAGTGTCAGGGTTAGGCTGTGAGTGTTACAGGCACTTAAAAGGTCCTTCAAGTTAAAACAAAAAATACTCTCTTTGTTTGCCATCTTTGTACTGTTTAACATGAGTATTTCAACAGTCTTTATTTTCCAAACATGCAAACAGGAGAGAGTGATCTGACCCACAGCATATTGACATACCATCTAGCTATAACCTTGAGATAAAAAGTAAAGGAAAAAGTCAAAACAGCTCAAACCAAATACTAATACAAACAAGTCTTTCTTCACTCTCGACCCCTTCCCCCCCCATATCAGTGGAACAAACTAGCATCAACACTCATTGACGGTGGTGGATTCACATGGCTCTATACTTGTGCAGCTTCAGGGGGACAGGAGAGCCCAAATACAAAGGGGAAAGTTTAATGTATTAATCAACTAATTCAACAAATACTTATTACTATATGTATCTGCTCTGATGCAGACAAGGTTGTAGACGCTGGGAATATCTCATACATTTAAGGGATGTATAAGACTTGCAAGGTCTCTGCCCTTGTGAAATTTATCTAGTGGTGTTAGAAAAAAAAAATCAGAGAATATAGCCCACAGTGTTGAGAGGAGATAAGAAATAGCAGCTGTACCAGAAAGCATGAGTTGGTTTCCTGGATTCTGTATATCCAGGAATGCAACTGCTTCAAAATCTGGGTCAAACTGTGGAATGGCTATTAAAGACAGAAAGGCAGAAAGAAAAAAAGCAGAGAATCAGAGAGAAGCTTCTCTTTCCACCACATATGGGAGGGTCCTTTGGGAGTTTTTACCAAATTGTTCAGGAAGAGTTAAACATGATGTTTTTAAGGTGATGAATTTAAAAAAAAACCACAATAAGTGCACCTTTGTCCCACGATGGAAGGACCCCAAAGGTGGAACATCCCAATTTAACAAGAGTAACTTTCTGAACATCTTCGTTATGCTAAACTCTGGGCTAGGCATTTATGGTTTTAGCTCATTTAATCCTCTCAACCAAATCCATTAAAGATAAACACTAACTTTTATTCCCATTTCGCATACGAATAAATAGACCTAGAGAAGTTAAGTAACTTGCCCTTACTCAAGGACACAAACCTGGTAGAGAGTGGAACCAGAATCGGATCACAGCTCCATCTGACTCAAAATCGATGTCCTAAACCACTTCATTTGCATTCATAAAATTATTTTTCATCCTTTTATTTCAGTAAAAAGGAATAATGTATTAATGTTAAATAGGAAAATTATTCAGATGGCTTCAGAAACTGACCTGTGTTTTTAAGATATTTTTTTGAACAGACATCCACATATATCCAATCAGTCAAAATCAAATAACACCATTTTCTCAAATGCATGAAAAAGTAAGAGATGACTTGTAACTGCCTAAATGTACCTAAGTTCAATATCTCAAATTAGAATTATGATTCAAGAATGAATGGGGATCAGCATTTTATTCAACTGATGAATTGCTCCTCAAAGTTTATTTTATTTTATAACTGCATACATTTCCATCATCACACTTTAATTGAAAATTAAATTAATAGTAAAATAAGGTGAAACTGGTTTAGTGAAAACAATGCAAAACTCCATAATAAAGTTCATGCCCATTTGGGAATGAATCCATATCAAAAATCTTTATCAAAAATAATTGTAGTGGAATTAAACTTTGAAAGGAGGTGAAGGTCTTGCTTTGGGTTGAAATCATTTAAATTAAATATAATGAAAAGTGACCAGGGTGCTTATTTTTACTTTGTTTTGTGGGAAATTGTGCTGGGAATGTGGATCTATTGTACACAAAGGATGTTGGCTTTATGCTGGAACCACTAGGCAGGTTGAGTTGAGAAACAATTAGCTCAGTCAGCAAGCCTTTGAATCTGATTAAGCCAGGAAGTGGTCACTCCCCAGGACAGGGCAGAATGAAGGGAATCAAGGCAGCAATCCAAAGCAAGGGATAATTTTTTTCTCTCTTTCTCTTAAATAAATTGTTATTAGAATTTATTGTGTCAAATTTATGCCAAGGACTATTTGAGTACATTTCATCTTTGGTAAAACAAATAGAATCTTGTTTCCAAGTAGATCAACAGTTCGTATGTGTCGTGGCTACTGTCTCTAAGAAACTTCTATTTACTGAGGCCTGTCATACGCTCATGTTTTGGTAACAAAACATCTTTGAGACCAAGGCCTCAAGCCACCAAGGAAAATGAAGGGCCTCTACCAGGCTGCTGGCCGGATTCTTGTTACTCTGGGGATCCTCAGTGTATGCTCTGGAGTTATTGCTTTCTTTCCTGTCTTTTCTTACAAGCCTTGGTTCACAGGATGGAGTGTTCGAATTGCTTGTCCTATCTGGAATGGAGCTTTGGTATGAAAATAGTTTATTAAATATATTGAGAAAATAAAAGAAGGTGGGAGGGAAAGGGAAAACAGAAGAACATATCCTTTTAAATTGTTCTAACAATACAAAGAAGTCAAAATTCCACAAAAAATCAGAATCCGCCTTGGAACATTGATTTCTATTAATTGCATTTTAAGTATAAAAATGATCTTAATATTGTTTTATCATGTATACATGTATATTATGTATTTTTAATGACATGCTGCTCAAGAAATTCTTAAAAAGTTATTTTATTTTAATCCACTTAACTTGATATGCTAAGAAATTAGAATCTTTTGAAATGTGAATTTTGAATTTAGAAAAAAACATAAACCTTGAAAAGTAATTTTAAAATACAGAACAAAGTAAAATAATTTTCAAACTAATGCTTTCATTGCAAACACTAAGATGTACATGGCCCCAAAATTTACAAACCCCAAATATTTGTTTTTCCACCTTTCTCTTGCAAGCAACTGTTTGAACTGAAAATAACTCAATAATTTTCAATTATTTGAAAATAATTCAAATAATTCAATAATTCAAGATGGACTTCACAATTCACTAGGAAAGTACATGTGCCAAGTACAGCGTACGACACTAAGTAGTACTCCGTGTGCGCTCATTGAATCATTGCACAGATAAACGATTGGCCTGGTCCCTTAGCTCTCCAACCAAAAAAAAATGGGCACATCTAGTCTTGGGAGTAACTGGCTTCCATGCTGGTATGATTTAAGAGAAGTTACAGAGACCCACCTGTCCAACAAATCCTTCTCTCATTGATTCCTGTGACGCCTGACACTACTGGAGACTGGAGAATTCAATATTGAAGCTTTTTGATCTTAAGGAATCTTCTATTAAAATGTAGCCACTTGGCCGGGCATGGTGGCTCACGCTTGTAATCCCAGCACTTTGGGAAGCCAAGGGGAGCGGATCACGAGGTCAGGAGTTCGAGACCAGCCTGACCAACATGGCGAAACCCCGTCACTACTAAAAATACAAAAATTAGCTAGGCGTGGTGGCATGCACCTGTAATCCCAGCTACTCAGGAGACTGAGGCAGGAGAATCACATGAACCTGGGAGGCAGAGTTTGCAGTGAGCCGAGATCATACCACTGCACTCCAGCCTGGGTGACAGAGCAAGACTCCATCTCAAAACAAACAAACAAAATGTAGCCACTGTTGTGTGAGATAGTATCTTAAATCTTTAAAAAGTTAAAACTTTAACTGAGATACCACCTAAAAACTAGACCTCAGGAAATATAAATTTTAATCTACTTATTAGATAAATATTTATGAATAGCCCCCTATGTCGTTGAGTTACAATGAAGGATCCAACAAGGTCTTCATCTTAAAGGAACTTGGTCTAGTGGGGTTTGATGAATGTGTGCAGATAGACGGAAGCCAGTGGGATTATGGGAGAGTCGATGGAATGAGGAAACCACAGGGTTATCTTTCTCTTTCTCAGTTTTTTTTTCTTTTTCAATACATTCTTTTGCATCTATCACCCCAATCTTGATCTTCCCTTCTTTTCTCCAACACCTACCTGAAACCACAATTCATTCAAAGAAATATTTGTTTAAGTTCTACTGGAATGCAGAGATGGCAGTTACACTTATTCAAGTGGCTTCCAAACTTTTTTTTGGTGACTCAGAGTCAGAAAAATATTTTAGGTGAGGACCCAGAATGTACATAAATACATCTACATTCTTCTCTCTAGATAAATAGATATCTACATCTATTATGTATATACATGTATAGTAGATGTTTATATATCTATAAAACAAAAGTTGCTCAAAATAGTACTTACCCTCTATGTGAAACATATTCTGATATTTTCTATTTCATTTAATTTTTTTAAAAATTCTGATTTCACAAAGTTTAACAATATCATGATTAGAGTTCAACCCTACATTCTTTTGTTACAGCTGTTTGCCTATCCTTTCAGACTGCAACATAATACATTAAACAAATATTGGTGATTTTGATTAAGATTACAGATGATTGAATGTATTGTTCTAGGCCAAACATCTATTTTTACCAGTTAGGCCCGGAGAAATGATATGATGTGTCTCCAGCACATAGTTAATTGGTAACTGTTTGATTTCAGAGGTGGCAGCATCAGGAAATGGAGTCAGAGATAAAGGATTTAGAGAAGTGGACCTGTTTTCAAGTCCTGACTTTGATGTTCTTGGTAGGAGGTCAAAAGCAGGACCCTCAGCCAGCCAGTTCCTCATTCCCTTTATCTGTAAAATGGGGAATTTTACAGATAAAAAGAGCCCACGTGTAAAACTGTCCAACCCTAAGATGCACAGTGAGAAGGAACACAATTTAAACAAAGATTGTATAATAAAGAGCTTTGCCAATTTTAAAGCCCTCTTCAAATGCTAGTTAATACTATGCCTTTCATTTGTGCCCTACTCTCTGTTCAAGCCCTTTGTTCTTAATCCTGTGTCACCCACCTCACTTTCCTATCCTACTCCCTCGTAACCTGCTGAGTTCTCCATCCTGTTACTTCCTGGACTTCATCTCCTACCACTCTTCCCTTAGGTCACTTCTCTCCCATCACATTGGCTCCTTGCAGTTTTCAAACATGCCATGATGTGTTTCTGCCTCAGGGCCTTTGCACTACCTGCCCTCTGCCTAAAGCCTCTTCCTGAACTTGGCTCACTCCCTAGTCTCCTTCAATTCTTGATTAATTCTTTATCAAACAACACTTTTTTATGGAGGTTTGCTCCCATTACACTATTTAAAATTGTAATCCCCTGACCCCAACTGGTGTTCCCAATCTCTGATACCCTGCTCTATTTTTTCCTCATAACACTTATTAGCATATAAGACACTATATAATTTTTCAATTTATTGTTTGTATATTCCCCTCTCCTCTAACAAATGTATATTGTAGAAGGGCAGGGATTGTTTTTTCTATTATGTTTACTGCTGTATCTGAAGAACTTGGAACAAAGGGAATTACAAACTCTGTGTTCAATAAATATTGTTCAATAAGTATTGTTGAATGAGTGAATGAATCTCATACCCTCCGTTCTGTTGGTACAGAATTTCTTATACAGTTGAATACCAATTAGGTTGCAAAGACTAAAGGTCAGGGTGGTATTTATATTATACTAGTGCAGGAAAAAATCCTCATGAGAAGGAAAGTAATACAAATGCTCAGTCTTTCAATAATGTCTAAATTTGGACGAACGTTATGTTTTTTTACTAGTGAGTTTCCTACTGAACCACAGTTCTGTCTGATCAGGGTGAACTTCAAACAGTCTCTGACTCATTCCACAACCTCCCTTACCAATCACTTCTTAACTTGCCTCCAAAGTATGTCTTCCTCCAGTGACAAGATTTGTACATTTCAACCATATTAACATTTCCTTTTACAGATGACTCCATATTTCCTTGGGGACTTGTAAGAAAGAGATTTTTGTATATGATACAGTACTTTGAATTTGTTCAAAGTCTTTCATTCAAGACTCTCTAAGTACTTCATATAGATTGGTCCTCAGACTCCCTAGTTCCATTTTGACATTTATATGACAAGCAATTTTCCTAGAATTTTGGAGCTAGGTTATTTAAAAGCATCAGCTGCTAGCAAGTATTCAGTGAGGAGATCATAATACCATAAGGAATGAGTTCTATTAATTCTAGAAAACATGGCTTGTAGATCAAGTTCTGATGAAAAGACTGGAGTGCAATGAGTTTAAACACAGGCCCTGAGGGCTGGACAGCCCAGTGACTTGGCCAATGGCAAGTGCAGCGCTGTACCCAGAGCCCTGCTTAGAGAAGGGAATTTGGGAGAAAGGTCACGCTAGATTTAGTTTTGCAGTCTTCCTCAACGGAAGTTCTGCCCCTTCCTCGACGGTTAGAGAAGGGGCTTGATTACATGACCATGCACGTCTGTTACAGCTTCCACAGTTGCATGTCTTCCAACTGCCTGATGGTGTCAAAGAAAAACCAGAGCTGAACAGTTAGTTAAAGCAATAAAAGCAAATTTTATTCAGGATTATTGCAATAGGGAAAAAGAGACATCAATATAGAACAAGGTTCTAGTCCAAGCACAGCATGAGCAAATGGGAATTTATAGCTGAGAAGCAGCTATAAGGGTAAAAGTCGGTGGATGGAAAATTACTAACAGGAAATATCAGGGGCAAGGGGGATTCTGGCTATACAGACCTACCAGTTTTCTTGCTGAAGACAGGCCAGGGTGATCAGACATCACGGTGGGGATGGGGGAGGAGGAGAAATCTGACTAGTTATAGAGGGTGATCAGATATTGAGACTAGGGGGGGTTCTTGCTAAACTGACTCATCAGCAGCAGGGTTCTTGTGCTCAAACTGGATTTTACAAGAAAGTACACAGATGGGCCTAGGAGAAGGTTCAGGAACCTGACTAAAGTTTGATCAAGCAAATAATCTATGTCAATGGTCCATTTTTCCACTTAGATATCCTAAGCTGCTTTAAGGCCAACTTGTCTAAAACCAAATTAATCATCTTGTCACCAAAACCATTTTTTTTCTTCTCCAACTTCCCTGTCATTGTCTTGGTAACTCAATTCCAAATACTGGAGTGATTTTGACTCAACCTGTTCCTCTAAACTATCCCTTCTCAAACTGTAACGTGCATACAAATCATTAGCAGATCTTGATGAGATGCAGGTTCTAATTCAGCAGGTCTGGGGTGGGGCCTGAGAGTCTGCATGTCTAATGAGTTCCCAGAGGATGCCCATGCTGCTGGTCCTAGGACCACACTGCAGGCAGCAATGCCCTACAGCCTAACACCAACCCTACTCTAATCAGTTGCCATGTAACTTTAATTTTTCCTACAAGGCATACCCCTATGCATTCCTTCCTTTTCCATCTCACTCTATACCCCCTTACCACTTGCCATCACTTCTCAGATTTTATGCCTAGGTAACTTTGATAGCCAAACTGTGGGAATCTATCCATTAGTGAATTATAAAATCAATCTATTGAGTAGCTAGCAGTATTTACAATAAATGCATAGAATAGAATAGAATAGGATAGAATAGAATAGAATAGAATAGAATAGAACAGAGGAGAACAGAGTAGAGTGGAGTGGAGTGGAGTGGAGTGGAATGGAATAGATAATATTAGAATGCACCACATTTTTTATATCTGACCAAAATTTGTATATCTTTTATATGCATCATAATGCATATGATGCATAATGATGGTTACATATTATTTTGGTCAGATATAAAAATATTTATAACTATGACATAAAATGTATTCGTTATTGTGGCTAGAGTTGAAAAAATAAATCTGAAGACCAGGGTTCTACAGAGATGTCTAGGCCTCCCCGTATTCCAATCTAGTGTGCACACAACTGGCTCATCTTTCTAAACCCCTTCAGTAGTCAGGCTACAGGTCCTTCAAAAATCTTTCACGTTGCTTCATTGTCCCTAAACAAAGTTCAGACGTGCTAGACTGCATTGTGAGGTCCTTCTCACCCTGGTATTACCTGGCTTTCAATCCTGATTTTCTACTCTTCTCTGCCAAGAACTGGCCCTCCTTTCAGTGTGGACTCCTCACTCCCTGCTCCCTAAGCATGGCAGCCACTTCCCCACCTTTGCACATGCTGCTCCCACAGACTGAGCTGCCCTCCCTCTGTCACCTCCCATTGAAATCACATCCATCCTTAAACCCACTTCAGATCCTATTTCTCCATGGTGCCTTTATCATCGATGTTTCCCCTGTAAGTGATACCTTATCTCTGAGCTCTTCTCATGCAGAAAACATTCATCCTTCTTGCCTAGTGTTGTAGCCATTCTCGTGTGTGCATTATTTTTACACCTGAACTGTAAATTCCAGCGGCAGTCAGAACCACTATTTGTACAATTACTATTTGGGGATCTTGTTCATCTTATTTAGCCTTTCTGTGCCTCATTTTAAAAGTGGGAGGATATCTACATGATAAGGTCATTGTGAGGATTAAATGAGTTAACACATGTGAAGTGTTCAACATATATTAAACACTCACTCAATACATGTTAACATTTATTATTACTTTATCAGCACAGTACCTAGCACATTGCTTGTTTGCAGTAGACTCATAACAGATGCTTGTAAGTGAATAAATTAACCATATTAATATGATACCTCTTAAAGTTTCTATTTCTATTGTGAGGGCTCCCTGCTTCCTTCAATTCATCTACTTCTGGGAACTACGTCCTCTACTTAGGCAATTTAAAGATTTAGTGGGAGGGTTCACAATGATCATGCAATCAAAGTGTTAGCAGTAATTGTTGCAAAACCCAGCTGATATCCCTGGAAGCGCCCAGAAAGCAAGGCAGCAGCATGTCAAGGAGAGCTGAGGGAGGCGAGTGCAGGATGGGGGCCCTCTCTTCTTTCCCCACTCACTGCCAGACACAGCCTCCACTCTCCCCTTCCTCATAACCTGGCCTCCTCTTCAGCCAACTATTCCCCCCTCAGACACTCCCTCTCTCACATTTTCTCTTCCCCTTGACTTGTCCTGCCTACCCTCAAATCTCTTCCTTTTTCATTCTTTTCTCCTCCCTATCTAAAAATATAATTTTCAAGAAGAAATGGAAGAAAGAAAAGGGGAAGTCTGCGCATCTTGGGGAAAATAGCCCTATTCTATCTCCCATGTCTGGCGGGGAGCACCAATAAAGATGGGTGCGCTAACCTCTTGAGCTGCCTTTCAATTTGCAGGGTGGATTTAACAAGTTACTGAAGGCATTCATACTCAGCCTACTGCATGAAAGATCTTTTTCAAAGTTTTATGTAAACAAAGCAAAATTCAAGCTGGCAGCTACAAAAATAACAGGCAACTGAAATTCTGCAGCATTTTTCAACTTTTTGAAAGGAAAGAAACAGCTCATGCCAAAGTAGTTAAGGCAACCTGGAATCTCAGCATCTGATAATGTCAGCTATCTACTCAGAGTTAAACCAGCAGAGGGGCGTGAGCCTGTCTCCCTTGCTTATCTGGCTTCAGTGTTTCTCTCTCTGACAGAGGAGTGATGTGTCAATTGAGGGCCATGCCTCCCAAAGCACAGAAAGCCCCAGGCTTACCCTACAGCACCGGTGTTACAGTTGCTCTTAATAATTCTTTTGTTTTCTTGTACTATTTATGCTGGCTCACCCTCCATAGGGTCCCTTGGAAACTTTCCTCTTGCAGAATCAAGCCAGGAACCCCTTTTGACT
Source organism: Homo sapiens (assembly GCF_000001405.40). Taxonomy (NCBI): domain Eukaryota; kingdom Metazoa; phylum Chordata; class Mammalia; order Primates; family Hominidae; genus Homo; species Homo sapiens. Next base: position 171,850,745 of record NC_000003.12, read on the forward strand.
ACAGATGGTTCTGTTTTTATCCATGGGAGTTTTATGGTATGGCGATGCCAAGTCTGGAATTGTAGGCTCAGCTACATGAGAAGTGTGTGTCTGTGTGTGTGTGTGCACGCGCGTGTGTGTTTCCCTCTCTCTCAAATTCTCTAAATCCAACATTCAAAATAAAATATGCCAGGAAAATGAAAAAGCTAAGTCTCAAAACAATAAATATGCCACATCCAGCTGCTACAAAAGCAGCATACCACACAACCATGTGGGTAAAAATGCTGATTTTTTTTCCTCCTTAACTTTGTTGATTGTGTACATACAGTCATGCTTATTTCTCTGTCAAAAGCTAACTTGTACTATATTTAGAGCTGTCCATATTCTATATCTTATTTTAGGCACATCTCTTCCTCTTTCTCGCTCAACCTCAAAAGAGCCATTAACCAAGAACAAATGATATATGCGGATTAAGAATAAGCTATTTCCAGTCTCAGTGACCACAAAGGTCTCCTCCATCAGATCTGTTGCTGAATCAAAGAGCCAGGAATATATTTTTTTCATTATCCGCTGCTAAATTCTGGTGACACTCTTCCCTCTTTTGTTTAACTATTTTCATTCCACACTGTGGGCCTTTTTCCTTCAACAGAGACTATAAAGAAAAACTCTCTTTTGAAAGGCTGGACACCACTGTACCCAGAACAATAAATGCCACATCATGCATTCATTCTAATGATAATCTTTGTTATTTGAGAAAAGGGGATCGTGTATTTGCATCCCACCAGCAGGCTGAGGCTATGGAATCTCAAAAGAAAGCAAATAGCAAAAGAGAAAGTCGCCTCAGGGTTTTGTGACAAGTTTCCATTCTGGTTCCTTCCATTTACAGTTTCATCAGTTTGTGAGAAAGGTGAACGATAGACATTTAATCAAAATAAAATGTATGGCAAGGGTTATAAAGCCAAGCTATTATCGTGGTGACACCTTACAGTAGTGGAGGCGATGATTCTGATGGCAAAGGCAACATAGAGAATCAAAAAATGAACTTGTATGAATCATGTCTTTATGACACTAATGGCTTACTTTCCTCGTCATCACAGTTTTTTTCCACGGATGAGGAGGAAATCAGAGCCATAAATCCACTGAGTCATTTTCTGTTCCTTCAAGTTCATGATAAAGTTGTCAAACTGTGAGACAGATTGAACTCTTTCCAGAGGTACCTTCTGTGGTGGATGTTTATTTTTCCATTTTCTTGTCACAGGCCATCACAACTGGTGTGCTTCTACTGTTGGCTTACAGAGAGTGGACCCAGAGGTACCTGGTAAATATACCGATGCCAAGTAGGATGGTAGAGAGGCTTTGAAGGTCAAATCACTACTAAGTTCAGGATGGAACATAAAAAATATGATTTCCAATTAGAATTGAATTTGGTCTAATTGATGCCTTACTACAATGGATTTCAGAAATAAACTCTGTTTTAAAAGATTTTTTTTTTTTTGAGACGGAGTTTTACTCTGTCCCCCAGGCTGGAGTGCAGTGGCATGATCTCGGCTCACTACAACCTCCACCTCCCAGGTTCAAGTGATTCTCCTGCCTCAGCCTCCCAAGTAGCTGGGACTACAGGTGCACGCCACCATGCCCAGCTAATTTTTGTATTTCTAGTAAAGACAGGGTTTCGCCATGTTGGCCAGGCTGGTCTCAAACTCCTGACCTCAGGTGATCCACCCACATCAGTCTCCCAAAATGCTGGGATTACAGGCATTAGCTACTGCGCCCAGCCCTGAATAATTTTTATCTGATCCCTGCTCCAAATATTTTCTACAAGTTCCTGTGATCATTATTGTATTTGGGGAGGACAGAGCCTGTGTTAGTGCTCCTAAATTTCATTTTGAAGAAATGGATCTATAGGCTTCTCTGCTTTTAGTAACATATTTTTAATTCTCAGCTCCTTAATCTGGGATCTCCTTCCAATCTTCTTGGTACCTCTCCTTCTAAAAAAGGATGAAAAGTCTATGCTATCTTGCATTTCAACTGCATAAAACCAGATAATCCCATGATACAAAAAGACTACATTATCTGATTATAAATTTTATTGCCATGGCTAACACAGGGCTTCTCAAACTTTAATGTACATGTAAATCAACTAGAGATCTGGTTAAAATGCAGATTCTGATTCAGTAGATCTGGGTGAGGCCTGAGATTCTGCATGTCTGCCAAGCTCCCAGGGGATATCAGTGCTACTGAATGATGGACCACATCCTGAGTAGCTGAGTAGCAAGAACCTTGAGCAGGGATTTTGTTCACTCATCTTTGTTTTTCCCAACCCAGACTAGTTGCTTCCATGTGATGGGAAACACATAAATAAACGTTTGTTGAATTGAACTAATTTAAATTTTGCCCCAGTTGGCTGATATATTATTCTCCTCTGGTGTAGATTGAAAATGAAAGGCGGCAGGAGGGAGAGCATCAGGAAGAATAGCTAATGGGTGCTGGGCTTAATACCTACGTGATAGGTTGATCTGTGCAGCAAATCGCTGTGGCACATGTTAACCTATGTGACAAACCTGCACATCTTGCACATGTATCCCGGTACTTAAAAAGTGAAAAAAAAAAAAAGAAAATGAATATACAAGGGACATTTTTAAGGGAAAATGAAAATATAAAGAGAGAGTCGTGATTGATTTCTCCCTCATTTTCCAATAGGAGAGATTCATAGCCAGCATCTCTTTTATTTTCTTCATATTGCTAAGAAGCCTTTGAAATATTTTGTTCCCAAAGTAACAATTTATTTTTGCTTTATTTTCAGGGGGAAGCTACTTTCACCTTTGTGATTCTGAGCATTATGGGATGTCCACTTCATTTTGCAATAGCCTTGGAATCTGCTCTCCTGGGCCCATATTGCTTCTATTCATTTTCAGGGATTGCAGGGACTAATTACCTTGGCTATGCAGTTACCTTTCCTTATCCATATGCAAAATTCCCATTAGCCTGTGTGGACCCACCACACTACGAAGAGTACCACCTGACACTTCAAGCCCTAGACCTGTGCCTAAGCTTTACCCTACTCTGTACATCCTTGACAGTGTTCATCAAACTTTCTGCAAGACTTATCCAGAATGGACACATAAACGTAAGTTTCAACAAAGGGGAGGCAGGTTCTTGTTCCATCTTGTATGCTAAAATGGAAAGTCTGGTATGTGAACAGTTGATCTTTCTCTGTTATTTACCATTGTATCCCATATGCTTTTGATATCCAGGTCTGGCACATAATAGGTACTGAATAATTGTTTTTGAATTAATAAATGGAAATATGTTGACATTATAACTGAAGTTATGGCCGTAGGTAGCACCAGCCAATTTTTATGTCAATCCACAATTTTGAAAATTATTCATAGGAACAAGACAAGGGTGCCCACTCTCATTACTTCTATTCAACATAGTACTGGAAGTTCTAGCCAGAGCAATTAGGCAAGAAAAAGAAATTTTAAAAATCCAAATCAGAAAGAAAGAAGCAAAATTGACTCTGTTTGCAGATGACATGACCTTATATATATATACCCTAAAGACTCCATAAAAACAATGTTAGAACTGATAAATTCAGTAAAGCTGCAGGATGCAAGTTCAACATACAAAAATCAGCTGTGTTTCTACACACTAACAACAAACAATCCTATTTACAACATCATCAAAAAGAATAAAATACTTAAGATAAATTTAACCAAGAATGTGAAAGATCTGTATACTAAAAACTACAAAATATTAATGAAAGAAATTGAACACACAAATAAATAAAAAGGTATCCCATAATCATAAATCAGGAGAATTAATGTTGTTAAAATGTCCATTCTACTCAAAGCGATCTATAGACTCAGGGCAATTCCTATCAAAAGTTCAATGGCATTTTTCACAGAAATAGAACACATAATCTTAAATGTGCATAGATCTACAAAAGACCACACATAGCCAAAGCGAACTTGAGAAAGAACAAAGCTGGAGACATCACAGTTCCTGATTTTAAACTATATTACAAAGCTACAGCAATCAAAACAGTAAGGCACTAGCATAAAAACAGACAATAGACCAATGGAACAGGACATAGAGCTCAGAAATAAACCCACATGTGAATGTTTGTCCTAAAATAAATTGGCTTTGTTGTTCAAGAAAAAGGGATATTTAGGACAAAACAGAAAGTCTAAGCATGTTGTGAATAGTCTATGTAAGTCATAATAACGTTAGTAAAAAGAAATTTTTTTTAAAAAAGGGGTTGTGTAATTCAGTTGGCTATGATTAAGAAGAAATCATAATAGTCTTTCTAGAGACAGGTCTTTAATATTAAAAAATACACTAATACAAAACTAATTAGTTAAAACAAGATTTTATTACAAATATTGACTTATTTTTAATGCAAGAAGTTTTTAATTTTTAAATTCTATGACCTATCTCTTTGACATTCTTCAGATTGATACCTCAAAAATTCAGCTCTTTCTCTTTGAAAAGGCCTTGGATAATAGCTCTCTCCTTCACCTTTTGATGGTTCCTGTAACTTTTATTAATTATCTAAAGTAGGAAAGGGAATTGCTTTTTAAACAAGCAAATAAAATATCCTTTGAGGCTGGGCATGGTAGCTCATACCTGTAATCCTAGCACTTTGGGAGGCTGATACAGGCAGGTCACTTGAGGTCAGGAGTTCAAAACCAGCCTGGCCAGCACGGTGAAACCCCATCTCTACTAAAAATACACAAAAAAATTAGCCAGGTATTTCCATTTATTAATTAAAAAACAATTATTGAGTACCTATTATGTGCCAGACCTGGATATCAAAAGCATAAAGGATACAGTGGTAATCAAGTAGCTTTTTAAAAGTTACTTGATTAGAGCTCTTTCATGCAGTTTGGTAGTGAAATATTTCCACATGACACATAAAAGCATACAGATATAATAGGCATGCAGAATAAAAGTGCCCATTGGACTGGTATAAGTTAGCTCAGATGTCGTTTAATTCCCATAATCTTAGTAATCTGTGATAAAATTAATTTGGTAAATTTAATCTCAAAACTCTCTCCAGTAATTTAAAATCTTAAAGTCATGTTAAACCCTTGGTTTTTATTTTCACTGGAAATTTGGATTATTAAAAGTTAAAATAGTGGGAGCATAAAATACATTTTTGGTAAAGTTTATGAAACACAAAGATGTTGATTTTGCTTTAAAAAAGGAAAATAGTTTTTTTCCTCTAGTTAAAAACTATTTAATGGTTGCTTTAAAATGAAGGAAAAAGTATACAAATAAAACTAAATAAAGGGAACAATTAGGCCAGTGCAACAAAAGTTAACTCTGAGCCCTGTGATTACCAAAAAAAATAGTCAATATGGGGGAAGGCTAAAACCAAGTAACCATTAAAAAGCAGAATGTATAATGTAAGGGAATTGTTCCATTTCATAGATTGGTATCATCAGCTTCTTAAAAAATCTTTACTATAGTGAATTGTAAAAATAACCACTTTAAGGACAAAATTCTTAAATTTAAATGCTACAGAATTTAAGAGCTTGTTTGGGTTCATGCAAGACTCACAGCTCACTACTAATCTCTAATAAGTATATGCAATCCAAATGCATAGGAGGTTATTCCTAAGAGAACAATCAGCCTAGTAAACTGGATAAGTGACACTGTAAGTGCTGCTTGCCCTGAGAAGAGGACTGCCCAACTCTCCCTATAAAATACCAAATGAACCACCCCAGGTGAAGCAGTTAATATCCTTCATATGCAAGCCATATTGGACTGGCTTTATGATGACTGGGATATCCTCCCAACAAATACACCCATTAGCCAGGTCATGGTAAATTTGGGAGCTAAGTGGACCCCTTTTACATGGGTGCCCCTCCCACAGAATCATAGGACTATTTAAGAAGCCTTATCAAATTTGCTGTCTCTCATATGTCTTACAGATGCAACTCCCTGCTGGGAACCCAAACCCTTTTTCACCATAAAAGGTAAAATGGTCTGGGGATAGAAAAGGCCTGGGACCAGAATATAAAAGCACACAGATTAATAGAATTATAAAATTTAAGATGTTTAAACAAGCTTTATATAAGGTAGTTGAACTCCTTTACCTAAATGTCTTATTAAAATGGGTACTGCATCTGACTGGGATGTTTCCCCTTTCTAGTACTATGAAGCTGAAGGCATGTAAATCTGCTCTTTTAGGAAATGTTAATTAAACATGCTAAATGGGAACTAGTAAAATCACCTAAGCCCACAAAGTATAGGGTAGTACCTGGAGTGCTAGTCTAGATGAATTAGTCACTGCATAGCCCTTTGTGTGGAGCATTCATCGGGGCTGAATGGCAAAAGACTGTGAGTGTTTTTCTATAACAACAACTGAACTAGAGAATTTCCACTTGATGGGGCATTTACTGCCTTGTTATAGAATATTAACTGAAGCTACCTCTATGCTAATGGAAATAATGGTGCCCAAAAGAGTTCCATGATAAAATAAAAATGGTTTACATAAAAAAAAAACTCACACACATGGAATCAAGTAATATTTGACAAGGGTGTCAGGAATGCATAATGAGGAATAATAGCCTTTTTAATAAATGGTGTTAGGAAAACTGGATATCTACATGCAAAAGAATGAACTACGACCCCGATCTGAGGCCAGTCACAGAAATTAACTTAAAATGGATTAAAGATTTAAATGTAAGACCTAAAGCTGTAAAACTACTGAAAGAAAACATAGGGATAAAGCTCCATTGACATTTGTCTTAGCACTGCTTTTTTTGGATATGACATGAAAAGCACATGCTACCAAAGCAGAAATAAACAGTGGGACTACATCAAACTAAAAAGCTTCTGCACAGCAAAGAAAACAATCAACAAAATGAAAAAGCAGCTTACAGAATTTTCAAACCATATACAGGACAAGGGATTAATATCCAAAATATATAAGGAACTCATACAACTCAACAGCAAGAAATAAATAATCTGATTTTAAAATGGGCAAATGACCTGCGTAGACATTTTTTCAAAGAAGACATACAGGTGGCCAACAGGTACATGAAAAGGTGTTGAGAAGCTCTTTAACATTACAAATTATTAGGGAAATGCAAATCAAAACCACAATGAAATATCACTTCACACCTGTTAAAATGACTATTATCAACCGGGTAAGAGATAACAAGTGTTGGTGAGGATGTGGAGAAAAGGGAATCCTTGTGCACCATTGGTGGGAATATAAATTGGCATAGCCATTATTGAAAACAGCATGGAGGTACTGCCCAAGGTAATTTATAGATTCAATGCCATCCCATCAAGCTACCAATGACCAATGACTTTCTTCACAGAATTGGAAAAAACTAAAGTTCATATGGGACCAAAAAAGAGCCCGCATACCCAAGACAATCCTAAGCAAAAAGAACAAAGCTGGAGGCATCACACTACCTGACTTCAAACTATTCTACAAGGCTACAGTTACCAAAACAGCATGGTACTGGTACCAAAACAGATATATAGACCAATGGAACAGAACAGAGGCCTCAGAAATAACACCACACATATACAACCATCTGATCTTTGACAAACCTGACAAAAACAAGAAATGGGGAAAGGATTCCCTTTTTAATAAATGGTGCTGGGAAAACTGGTTAGCCATATGTAGAAAGCTGAAACTGGATCCCTTCCTTACACCTTATATAAAAATTAACTCAAGATGGATTAAAGACTTAAATGTAAGACCTAAAACCATAAAAACCCTAGAAGAAAACCTAGGCAATACCATTCAGGACATAGGCATGGGCAAAGACTTCATGACTAAAACACCAAAAGCAATGGCAACAAAAGCCAAAATAGACAAATCGTATCTAATTAAACTAAAGGGCTTCTGCATGGCAAAAGAAACTATCATCAGAGTGAACAGGCAACCTACAGAACGGGAGAAAATTTTTTCAATCTACCCATCTGACAAACAGCTAATATCCAGAATCTACAAAGAACTTAAACAAATTTACAAGAAAAAAACAAACAACCACATCAAAAAGTAGGCAAAGGACATGGACACTTCTCAAAAGAAGACATTTATGAAGCCAACAGACACACATAATCCCAAATCATGCTACTATAAAGACACATGCACACGTATGTTTATTGCGGCACTATTCACAATAGTAAAGACTTGGAACCAACCCAAATATCCATCAATGATAGATTGGATTAAGAAAATGTGGCACATATACACCATGGAATACTACGCAGCCATAAAAAAGGATGAGTTCATGTCCTTTGCAGGGACATAGATGAAGCTGGAAACCATCATTCTCCGCAAACTGTCACAAGGACAGAAAACCAAACACCACATGTTCTCACTCATAGGTGGGAATTGAACAATGGGAACACTTGGACACAGGGTGGGGAACATCACACACTGGGGCCTTTCAGTGGGTGGGAGGCTGGGGGAGGGATAGCATTAGGAGAAATTCCTAATGTAGATGATGAGTTGATGGGTGTGGCAAACCAACATGGCACATATATACCTATGCAACAAACCTGCATGTTGTGCACATGTACCCTAGAACTTAGAGTATAATAAAAAAAAAGAAAACAGTGTGGAGGCTCCTCCAAAAATTAAAAATAGAAATACTACATATCCAGCAATGCTACTTCTGGGTATATAACTGAGGAAAACAAAAACATATGCCAAGGCGACATCTGCACTCTCATGTTCACTGCAGTATTATCCACAATAGACAAGACATGGAGACAATCCAAGTGTTCATCCACAGATGAACAGATAAAGAAAATACACACAATGAAATACTACTCAGCCTTAAAAACATGAGGAAATCATGCCATTTGCAACAACATGGATGAAACTTGAGGGGATTATGCTAAGTGAAATAAGTCAGACAGAGAAGGATAAATACTGTATTATCTCACTTACATGTGGAATCTTAAAAAGTTAAACTCATAGAAATAGAGAGTAGTATGGTTGTTGCCAAGGCTGAGGGGTGAAGGAAACGGAGAGAAATTGGTCAATGGGTACAAATTTTCTGTTATAAGTTGAGTAAGTTCTAGGAATCTAATGTACAGCATGATGACTATTTAACAGCAATGTATTGTACACTTGAAATTTGCTAAGAGAGTAGATCTTAAATGTTCTCACCACACACACCACAAGAGGTAAATATGTGAGGTCTCGGATGTGTTAACTGACTTGACTGTGATAAACATTTCACATTTCATATATATACACATAATCATCACAATATACACTTATAATTTATATAACATTATTTGTCAAATATACCTCATTAAAGCTGGAATAAAATAAAATACATTTTTAACATAAAGTGATAAGAAACACTGAACTTTTTATGAATAATGAATCTGCATCCCTTTACCTGATTCTAAGTTTAAGAGGTCATGAGAATATAGTATTTTTTCCCCTGGGAAGACATATGCTAAGATAAACCAACTTTGAATTTTTGAATTTTATTTTATTTTACTTATTCTTTTTTTTTTTTTTTTTTTTGAGACCGGGTCTCGCTCTGTCACCAAGGCTGGATGGAGTGCAATAGCATGATCTCAGCTCACTGCAACTTCTGCCTCTTGTGCTGAAGTGATCCTCCCACTTCAGCCTCCTGAGTAACTGAGACCATAGGTGTGAGCCACCATGTCCAACTAATTTTTTTTATCTTTTGTAGAGACAAGGTTTCACCACGTTGCTCAGGCTGGTCTTGAACTCCTGGGCTCAAGTCATCTGCCCGCTTCAGCCTCCCAGACTATTGGGAATGCAGGCATAAGCCACCTCATCAGGTCAAACCTTGAATTTTAACCCTAAACATCTGCATAATGCTTTGCAATGTTATTTTGCAGTTTACAATGTAGGATTGAATTTGACAATTTGCTTTATTTTATCTAATTAAATTTTACACAATAAAAAGTACTAATAGAGACAAAGACTAAGAACTTTTTGAGGAAATTGATGGAATAATATATTTAATATTTTTAATAGTTGAATACAGATACCTTAAATTGGCTTCTAACCCACAATTCAGATGCACTGTGGCTTGAAAATACATAGAAGAAATTCTCCCAGTGTTTCCATTCCTACCCCAACAAAGAGGTTGAAGTACCCCAACATCAAGTTCAGCTTTCTAACTTTTTCCAGAAGGGCTAATAATACCACTAATGATATGATAGTAATAGAGGCTTACTATGTGTCAGTGTACTTCCCTACTCTACGGTTAAAGTGCATGGCTCTGGCCTCCAGGAGAGTTGGAGTAGGGCCTCTGGGAGAAGAGCAGAAGTGACCTGATTCTAAACTCCTACAGCTGATGCTGATCCTTCGTGGGTTGAACAGCTTCCCTTTGGAAAGAGATACTTCCCACTGCAAACTCTCATGCTGGCTTTATGATTTAGATTAGTATCATATTGGGGTCAAATGAATTTGGATAGTGTTAGCCAATTTTTTTTTCAGGTTGATACTATCCACCCCAACCAGCAAAGCTGGAATACAAAAATTTGGCACTCTTGATGCCTTTTGTGGTCAGTTCTGTCCTCTTCAACTTCTACGCAAGTCTGCAAAGGAAATCCTGTGCGTTCTTAGGAACAGAGTTGATTTTACAAGGAGGCCTGCCAAGAGTTGAGGGAAGCAAACCAAAATCACCTCCCCCACTGTACTGCCAGGGCATCTGGAAGTTTAGTATTTGAGATTTCTTCCTTGTGGCAAACGTCCATACTTTCTGGAGCCCTTTGCTAAAAGGAATGCATGCCTAGAAGCACCACACATTTCTGAAGTGCTGGCAGTCACGACCCCTCAACATGGGCCGTTCATCAGACATCTGGCTGTCACCTTAGGCATAACACAGAGGTTTAATGTGGGACGGAGGGGAGGGAGAAAGGGAAAAAATATATGAGGGGCTTGGTAAGTCACCTCCATGAAGATTCAACAGTGAGGCCACCTGAAGTGCCTGGGGAGAGAGAAATGAATTGAAAACAGAGATGAGCTGGGTTCAAAAGCAAGCTTCTCCAGCTTTAGAGTTTAGCCTTTCCCATCTTGCTCAGGACACAACTTCTTAGTGTGTGCCTTCTCAGCTGGGTACAGGGCCAACGAAACTATATTTCTTAGAGTAGACCAGTGATGTCAAAATCATACAGGGTTCTTGTGAAGCCAGATTTCTGGGTGCCATCTAACCCCTATTATGTCAGAAACTCTAGAGTCGGAGGCACAGAGTGTGCGTTTTTAACACATACCCCAAGAAATCTGATGGCCAGTGAAGTTTAAGAATCATACTGTATTTTGCAAAAGATTCTCCTCCTAGCACAAGATTCTCTTAGTGTCACTTCTTGACAGTCTCAGTTTCCCCAATCTGCATAAAATGCAACACTAATTTGGGTGAGAGTTCTAGGTAAATTTAATAAGCAACATTTCCTTGGGGAGTGTTTTTGGATGAGTTGACACCATAATGGCGGCAGATCGTGTTTCATTAGTGAGGATGCGTGGCTGACGTAACAGGACACGATGTTCTGTATTATTAAATACACCACTGCGCCAAGCCCATGAGGCACACACACAGCCTGAGCAAACCTTTGCTACCATGTAGAAATCTCTGCTATATTAGGCACAATTTCCCGCAGTGAAATAAGTATATTGTTTACTAAAATTTCAGAAAATGCACAACTTTCTTAAAATGAAAAGCAGATAATTTGTCCAAATACAGAATTCTACATAATGATTCTATATTTCATTTACCCCCATACAGTTATGTTGTTAGATTCCCCACATGCAGAAAGTGATAAGCAATATCGTAAACATTTCATTAAAAATTATAATACAAAATATGTTACTATTCATTCACAATTCTTTTTGCTTATATAAGCAAAACATCGACAGTGTATTAAAAAGCTGCACTTTTAAGTGTCACCCTGAAAATTAACATTTTTAATGTAAATTTTGTGCATATCAGAAAATTCAAGAGTCATGAAAGTTTGTAAACAAAAGTGATGGTTTACAAAAAGATTTGGAAAAGTGGTCATTTTGTATTTGTACTGTCATGAACTGTGGAACAAAGTCAACTATTGTTTTTAAGATCCATACGTATCAGTCAATATTATAATGAAAAATATTCACTTCTAAGAGTTTTTTTCTATACGTTGAAAAATATGTTTTCAGAAATGAATCAAGCACCCCCTAAGGAACCACCACATCCATTATTTCTTTCCTCCCTGTGTTGCCTTGTTTTGGTAGAATCCAGGTCATCTTGTTAAAGTTCACACAGTGAAGGTGTGTGAATGTTCTGTCAATTGGTACCCAACCACAACCACAGAGAGAAATGCTTGAAAGAGACATGAAAGGTTTGATGACTTTGATAAACACAAAGGGGCGTGTGAGTCCTTGCGACTGTCCAAGGCCTCACAGGAAGGGGTGGGGGCTGAGAAGGGAATAACAGCCACCTGCTCAGAAGGCTCCATGCAGAATGTTGAAGTGACTCTGTCAGCTCCAAGACCCAGCATAGGGGGCAAACACGCATAACACAGAGTTTAAGTCGAGGAACGAAAATGCAAAACAACCATAGCCGGAATTGTCTACATTCTTCGTCCAATAAGTAATAAAGTGATGGGAAAGGAAAGAATTGGGATGCCAGACACAATGCAGCTGTCCCCTGCGGCTACTCAGCCCCTCCTCCACGGAATGGAATGGCCCTGTTTGTTTTCCTTTCATTATTCGGTGTTGTGTTTTGTGTCTTTTTTAATGAAAGGGGGAAAGAAAATATTTCCTTCTCGTCATGTGATACAGTGGTTTTACTTTTTTCAATGAACTGAGAAATATTTGCTTCACATAAGAGATGTAGTTAAACCTTGAAATGCAATCCCAAAACATACGGAGGCAGAATATTTGTCAGTGGAGGACCCTCTCCCGCCCAACAGAAGACAAATGAGCAGCATCATGCTGGCCCCAAATCTTCCAAGGGACTTACACTGGATCATTGCAATATGAATGTGCTTTGAAATGAATTCATCTATGACTCTCACCCTAAAGGTCTGGGGCCTCAGTTTCGGCTATAGTAAGGTCTTTCTGATGCTCTTGGAACTAATCCCCCTTTCGTAGATCCAATTAGAACTCATGCAGGACCAGAGAACAATAATAACTCATTGTATTTCTTCCTCACAAATTGTGTTAGGAAGTCTCCTCACATTGGTCAGTAGAGAAATCAGAAGCTGGAAAAAGAATCACAATGCAGGGCATTACTACTTCTGTTTCTCTGACATAATAACAGTGACATAAAACTGGATAAAAGAGGAAGAATTGTAGGTGTCATTTATTGGGCAGCTACTGTTTGTCAGGTGCTGTACCTCTTTTATTCCTCACATCACTCCAAAGTTCACTATGCCCATTTCACAGATGAGGGCACTGAGACAGCCATGTAGAACTAAGAATTCAGTCTCAGGTCTCACAAAGTCTGGGGTGCAGGCTCCCGGCTGCTGGACTGTGTCACCTCCTTTAGGTGGTATATCAGCAGTCCCATGTGAGTCCCACCTACTGACCTGGCATCGTCATGCTTCTCTTGGAAAATCTTTCTTACGTTGCTCACAAACAAAAACTAACATTCATATTTTAGAAATGAAGGCTATTTTTCCAGGATATTTGCATTTCATTTAATCACTGGGACCACACCAAGGGTGATAGCAACTTGCTGAGAGAGGAAATGATACTGAAGTGTTTATTGTAATGTATTAAAGTAAGTTTGATATTTTGTCAAAGAGGGAGTGGTAGGTGGGGAGGGGTCAGGATCCTGAGAACTGCTTTTTGTATTTTTTACTTTATAAATTATCATGAGGCTTAACATATTTTCCTCTTGACATGCAGTCAATTTACCCTTTTAATATAACATATTGTAGTGGGTTTTTTCCTTTGCTTCCCCATCTGAATCTAAAATGTTATTATTAATAATTTTTTTTTGAGACAGAGTCTCACTCTGTCACCCAGGCTGGAGTGCAGTGGCACCATCTCAGCTCACTGCAAACTCTGCCTCCTGGGTTCAAGAGGTTCTCCTGCCTCAGCCTCCCAAGTAGCTGGGATTACAGGCATGCACCGTCATGCCCAGCTAATTTTTGTATTTTTAGTAGAGACGGGGTTTCACCATGTTGGCCAGGCTGGTCTCGAACTCCTGACCTCAGGTGATCCACCTGCCTTGGCCTCCCAAAGGGCTGGGATTACAGGCGTGAACGGCCACGCCTGGCCATAAATATGTTTTTGAATAGATATTAAATATAACATATTTAAAACAACTAAATATATTTGAAACAAATAAAAAGCGTTTGTTTTATACAAGAGCAGAAACTTGAGTAAAAAGCAGAAGTCTCCATTTTCTATAGCCATGAAAGAATGCAGAGAAAATGGCATGTATATTGATGATATATCTGAATGGTTACAATGGTGCTAACATGTGAGTACAATACCTTTTAGAATGTAACAATGTTGGTTTGATACTGTAAATTTTACTAATTAAAGAGGAGAAGACTTGAGGCCTATTGCTGGATGTCTGGGTTTTCCCATAGGAAAGAAGAGAGAGAAACAGAGGAAGTAATTAGGGTGAAAACAATGGCGGGGTGTGGGGTGAGGAATGACACAATGACACTTCCCCTCCCAGACTGGCCAGAGAAGCCAGAAGGGACTATGTAGACAAGCTGGCAGCTCATTGCTGCACAAATCAGGTATCAGGGACTTGAGCTTCCTCATCTCTCAGACCCCAGCCAACCTCCAAGGACCTTTCCAGATCTGTCCTAATCCGTGACTTTGAAATGAAACTTCATTCCATTTGAGTAGATTAGCATCAAGGAGGTACTACATAAAGCAAGTGAAAAAGATAATTTTTAAAGAATGGAACAGCTGGCTCTCTACCTGTCCTAAGCCACACTGATGTGTCCCTGGTGTTGACCACATCACCGTGTTGCTATGTTAGCTCAAGACACAGTACGTGCTGGGAATGTTACTCATGTGAGAGCTATCACAGATTCCCAGATCACTTTAACCACTTTAGGGCAGCATCTTTCTTTGCTCAATATTCAATCTGTCATAACAAGCTAATTGCAGTCCTAAAAAAAACCTTTTATATTATTTACGTATAAAATTTCAGTTTATTTACAAAAAAAAATCTTTTATTTTTTTGAGATGGAGTAGCCAGGCTGGAGTGCAGTGGCATGATCTCAGTTCACTGCAATCTCTGCCTCCTGGGTTCAAGCAATTCTCCTGCCTCTGCCTCCCAAGTAGCTGGGATTGCAGGCGCATGCCACCACACCCAGCTAATTTTTGCATTTTTAGTAGAGACGGGTTTCACCATGTTGGTCAGGATGGTCTTGATCTCCTGACCTCGTGATCTGCCCGCCTTGGCCTCCCAAAGTGCTGGGATTACAGGAGTTGAGCCACCGTGCCTGGTCAAAAAATTGTTTTTAAATGTTTTTCCTCACTTACATCATATAACAAACCTAATTTGATAGCTGAAAAGAAAAGCTGATAGAGCAATGAAATTACAAGGTGCTGGACTGAAATTAATGCCTTTGACAAGAGGAGTATCTTCTGTTCACTAGAGCATGACTCTTCTCTTGTCATGTGTCACAGATTGTGAACCCAAAGCCTAAATACAATATTTATTATTCATACTTGCTCCTCAACATTTATTGGGTATATATTATGTGCCTGATATCTAGCTAAAGGTTAGAGACAGAAATATGAGCAAGACACATCCTGCCTGCCATTGACTTACAGGGATTAAAGGGAAATGAGGCTTGGGCCAGGAGGACCAAGAGAACAGATGAAGAATAACAGGATCTGAATTAGTCAGCAACAGTGGGTATGGAGAGGAGGTGATACCTTTTTTTTTTTTTTTTTTTTTTTTTGAGACAGAGTCTGGCTCTGTCGTCCAGGCTGGAGTGCAGTGGCGCAATCTTGGCTTACTGCAAGCTGCGCCCCCCGGGTTCACGCCATTCTGCTGCCTCAGCCTCTAGAGTAGCCGGGACTACAGGCGCCCGCCACCACGCCTGGCTAATTTTTTGTATTTTTTAGTAGAGAGAGGGTTTCACTGTGTTAGCCAGGATGGTCTCGATCTCCTGACCTCGTGATCTGCCCGCCTCAGCCTCCCAAAGTGCTGGGATTACAGGAGTGAGCCACCGCGCCCAGCCGAGGTGATACCTTTGAGAGACATTTAGAAGGTAGACTCCACAGGACTTGGTAACAGCACATGGGACAGGAGAGGAACCCAGAAAGATGCTAAAAGTTTCAGGCCTATAAGAGACCCAGACAAAGTGATTGGATTTAATGCGGGTCACACTCTTGTCACTGAGGGTAAATACTCAGTTTCACATCTCATCATTAATCAAAAGGCATTGTAAGAACTTAGTAGAGGAAATTAGAGGCCTCCTGCCTACCACTCTAGACAAAGAGGTACGGAAGCTTTTCCTGAATACTCTCCAGTTAATCCTGGTCACATATCGGATACAAATGATACCTTGCTTTGAATTTATAATAAATCTAGCACTGAATGGTGTGGACTATAAGACAGTTTTAATCTAGGCCAATTTTATTTACAACTAATTTCTGCTTTTCTTTTATTAAATCTCCCATGGCAAACAGTGTTACCTTCTCTGTGAGGCTTTTCTTCTTTCAACCATCCCCGGACAGAACAGATCACTTCTTCCTTTGTGCCAGCATTGCAGTCTATGGCAGATCCCTAATAGTACACCCTTATCATGTTCTTGATATATTGCTTCTTGACCAATTTCAAACTTTTTGAGGGCAGACAGCATGACAGTTCAACTCTGATGTGTAGCCCCCAGCATAAGGCCTGATTTAAAAAGAAAAATACAATCTGATTAACTGTCAAGTGAACTAATGCTTTTTTTTTTTTTTTTTTTTTTTTTTTTTTTTTTTTGAGACGGAGTCTCTGCTGCCCAGGCTGGAGTGCAGTGGTGTGATCTCGGTTCGCTGCAACCTCTGCCTGCTGGATTCAAACGATTTTCCTGCCTCAGCCTCCCGAGTAGATGGGACTACAGGCACGCACCACCACACTTGGCTAATTTTTGTGTGTTGTTTTTTTTTTTTAGTAGAGATGGGGTTTCACCATATTGCACAGGCTGGTCTCAAACTCCTGACCTCGTGATCCACCTGCCTCGGCCTCCCAAAGTGCTGGAATTACAGGTGTGAGCCACCGCGCCCAGCTGCCAATGCTTCTTTATTGCCTTTTCTCATGTGGGCCTCAGTTTGGAAGAAAGAAATTAAGAACTTAGAGGTCTTGCAAATAATATATTGAAAACTTCAGGAAAATACCTAAGCAAGATTAACAACAGGGATTTTCACAGATTAAGCATTGAGTAACTAAAAGCCAAGGCCATTGCACTGCACAACTCCGGAGACCACCGATCTCATTAGTCTATGAAAATGGCACCACAACAATTTGAACAGCGCCCCCTAGAGTTACGTAATATGAAGCTTTGCTAGTTGGTCAAGAAGCCTAGGCTTAATTTTAACGGACTGAGCCATCCACTTCCTTTTCAGGGTCTTGGTTAACTCATCTATAAAACAAAGTGGACTAGACCAGTATTTCCTATCATTCTGTGGTTTAAAGCCCCTTTCATAATAATAATCTCATAAAAACTCTCAGCTAAAAAATTGCATCATTTTATTATGGTACAAAGTTGTTTTAAAAGATTGTAACACAAAATTTAATATAATATTTATAATATTCATAATATAGTTAGGTAAATTTGTACTTTTTCCATTTAACAAGTACCATTCTATTTAATTAAGATTAAACTGAATATGTCATAAAAACATGATTTTTTGGACAAATGTTATAGTTAACATTGTGTTATGTTTAGGATTTTGTATACTTTAGGAGGCCAAAGTATACTAAACTTTAGAATTACATTTAACTATGTGTTACACTCAATCAAAAATCAACTAAAATATATTATATGATTTAAGGTTTGTAATTATTACATCTGATTTGTTTTATAAATAAACAAATAGGGATATGAGAAAAAGTATCAAGTTAGTATTTGTGGGCATTTCTTTGCGAATAGCACCTTGCTGATATTGCTAGACTTCAGTGACAATGAATGAAAAACTGAATCAGGCCGGGCACGGTGACTGACGACTGTAATCCCAGCACTTTGGGAGGCCTGACTGAGGTCAGGAGTTCAAGAGCAGCCTGGCCAACATGGAGAAACCCCATCTCTACTAAAAATACAAAAATTAGCTGGGCATGGTGGTGAGCACCTGTAATCCCAGCTACTCGGGAGGCTGAGGCAGGAGAATCTGAGGTACAGAAACCCAGGAGGTGGAGGTTGCAGTGAGTTGAGACCATGCCATTGCACTCCAGACTGGGCAACAGAGTAAGACTCCATCTCAAAAGGAAAAAAAAAAAAAAGAAAAGAAAAAAAGTAAAACTAAATCACATATAATCTTATATAAATATAAATATATATGCATGTATGTGTATATATATATGCCTATATAAGTATGTATGTGTGTATATATATATGTGTGTGTGTATATATATATACACATATATTTGAGACTGGGTCTTGCTCTGTCACCCAGACTGGAAGGCAGTGGCATAATCATAGCTCACTGCAGCTTCAAACTCCTGGGCTTAAGCAATCCAGTCCTCAGCCTCCCAAGTAGCTGGGACTACAGGTGTGTACCACCACATCCAGCTTATTTTTTCTTTTTAACACAGAACTATGAGATACATTCTGATGTACTTCGAATGCTAAGCAGATGAATGCAACATAGGGGTTTGGTGAAGATAATCTTGAAGAACATTGGGAAAATTATTATCATTTTTATGCTTTTTGTTTCAACATCAATGTTCGTTTTTCAACATCAGTGTTCCACATACCATCTGTCTATTTCCAAAGACCATTATGGGCTCACACCTGTAATGCCAGCACTTTGGGAGGCCAAGGTGGGCGGATCACTTGAGGTCAAGAGTTTGAGACCAGCCTGGTCAATATGGTGAAGCCCCATCTCTACTAAAAATACGAAAATTAGCTGGACATGGTGGCGCATGCCTGCATTCCCAGCTATTCGGGAAGCTGAGGCAGGAGAATCACTTGAACCGGGAGGCAGAGGTTACAGTGAGCCGAGATCACAGCACTGCACTCCAGCCTGGGCCAGAGAGTAAGACTCCATTGCAAAACAAACAAACAAATACCATGATGATTATATGAATTAGGAAAAGAAGACAATTAAAAATGGATGATAGTTTAAAACAGTTGTAGTATAAAACAATGTTCAAATGAGAAATAAACCAACACCCACCTGATATTCCCAAAGAATTTTTTTTTTTTTTTTGAGATTGTGTCTGGCTCTGTCGCCCAGGCTGGAGTCCAGTGGCGCGATCTCGGCTCACTGCAAGCTCCACCTCCCGGGTTCAAGCGATTCTCCTGCCTCAACCTCCTGAGTAGCTGGGATTACAGGCATCTGCCACCATGCCCAGCTAATTTTTTGTATTTTTAGTAGAGACGGGGTTTCACCGTGTTGGTCAGGCTGGTCTTGAACTCCTGACCTCATGACCTGTCTGCCTCAGCCTCCCAAAGTGCTGGGATTACAGGTGTGAGCCACCGCACCCGGCCCCAAAGGATTCTTCAAAAGCAAATTGATTTATTGTTAACGTTTAAATTGAAATTAAAATAGACATTCTAAAGCTTTTAACGATGCAATAACTTTTTTTGTAAAAGGTCTTCTCTGTCTCCCAGGGGTGTGGCCACCAGCAGTTGAGAAGTGCCATTCAGATACTCTCAGAGGTCTCGTCTAGTCAAACAATTTGTGTCTTAGTAAATTCAGTCCTGCCCTGCAGCAGCAGCCATTCCCATAGACATGAGGGATGCATTGGAGTGCTGCCTGAGCTACCTATTGTTTCTTGGGATGGTGAGCTAGTCTCTGATTCAGGTAGATAATGGGATATAATGTTTATTATTGGAATAACTTCAATAAATTCTATTTTCTGATCACATACTAGTAATAGGTACCAGGTATGATTTTCTAGACCAGAGGTTTGCAAACTAACTATAGCCCAAGGGCCCCAACTTGCCATCCACCTGTTTTTATATGACCTGCAAGCTAAAAATAGTTTGTATATTTTTAAATAATTGGGAAAAAACTAAAAATTTTATGACACATGAAAATTATATCATACTCAAATGTCAGTGCCTGTAAATAAACTTGTATTAGAACATAGCCATGATCACTTGTTTATATATTGTCTATGGCTGCTTTAACACCACAATGGTAGAGGTGAATAGTTGCAACAGAAGTTGCATAGCTCACAATACCTAAAATATTCATCGTGTGGCCCATTACAGAAAAGTTTGCTGATCCCTTTTCTAGAAACTTGATATGCATCTATGAAGAAAACAGACAAAAAATGTGGAGTCTATTTTCAAGCAGAAGAACACAGAATAAATAATAAACATAAAAAATTAAACAGTATATTAGAAGAGGGTAAGTGCAGTGTAAAATAAAAAAGAGACTAGGAAAGGTCGGACGGGGAGTGTGGGGGTCAAAAGAGTAGCAGATTGCAATACTACATTTCATTTTATGTCTTCCTAGCCATAGCTTAAATCTTACCTAAACTTACAGCAGGAGTATTTCAAATCTAAAATCAACTTACATGTCATAGGGAATGTACCATGGAATCTAAGAATTCTCCAAGAAAGGGTAGAGAGAAAAAGTGGATTTGCATTTCCATGCCAAAGAGCAGTGGTTTGTCGGAGAAGAATTGTTTTCACCATTATTTATGAGACATGGAGAACCTGGTGTGCGGTGGCACTTCTGAAGTCAGACAGTTTGAGGTTTAATTATCTCTTCTGTTACTAATCATCTGACTAGCCTTGAGCAAACTGATAGCAAACCTCTCTGAGCCTAAGGTTCCCCATTTATAAAATGGAGATAACCCCTACCTCACACGTTGCAAGAATGAAA
This sequence comes from Homo sapiens, assembly GCF_000001405.40. NCBI lineage: Eukaryota > Metazoa > Chordata > Mammalia > Primates > Hominidae > Homo > Homo sapiens. The sequence continues at coordinate 171,871,698 of NC_000003.12, forward strand.
AGGATATAATTTCTCATAAGAGTCCGACACAGGGCATACAATTGATAGGTGCTCAAGAAATATTCCTCCCCCTCACTCCTAATGAAATTTAAATTCTTGGCTCCCTATCAAAGAATTTGCATAGTGCCCTTTAACCTTCTGTTAATTTTTGAAAACCTCCAACCCAATCCAAACCAGACAAAACTAACAGCAAATGACCAACAAGAGTATTCAACAGAGAGCTTTCCCGCTTCCTTAGACAGGCGCATCCACGAAAGTGATGGCTTTTCCTGTTTTATGATTATGCCAGATTATTTCATTACACATGTATTTCTTTTTTATATCTTTCTGCCACCCCCTGTCACCACTACCACCAATTTTGTTCTCTGTTGATTCCTCTTAAATCCTTAAGTAGGACCATGATGCAGTTGTCTGAGTCATCCTTCCCTGGGTTCCTATGACATTAAAAAAAAGGCTAAATTAAATGTCAGAAGAGACACTTTCTTTTCTTTGATAAACTATAGAAATAAACACGTCTCTTTTTTTCTTCCTGGGGTCAAAAGAATGGACAGTAAATTTGGAGCAGTGTTCCTCCTAAATTTGCCTTATATGTGATCTTTATTTTGAAATATTTACAAAATAATTTTGATCTTTAAACTCTTTCCCTCTATGTCCTTATAAAATAAAAATTTAAATAGTTTTACATGTTAGCCTTTTAAAATTAACTTTTTTCTGATTTATATATTATGACATAAAAATTGAAATTATATTATTATCGTTATAGAAATTTTAAAATTCGAAATATAAATTTACAGTGAATGAATGTTGTCTTGAAGTTTCTCTTGTTCCTTGTGTGGTGTTTCATTAAACTGTAATTCCGTATTACCTAAATTGAGGAAACGTTTTTCTCAGCTTTTCTTCATTGCCATTACCAAAGTGACTCAAAATCTTCAAAGCACAGTTAAAACACTGAATTGTGCCGTAATGAGAAGGGCCTTCTGCATAGGGAGTGTGACCCTCCCTCCTAGACTCTCTGTCTCTTGTCTTTGGCACTCATGACAGTTTAATAGTTAGAAGGCACCTTCAAGGTCCGTTAGGCCAACTTCTCATCAAATGTCCCAAGGTCTATATGCCCCTTACAGTTCAGCCATTCCCAAGAGGCAACCCATTCAGCTATTAAGTAGCTCGAAATGTCCAGGTTCTTTCTTCATTTGGTTAGAGATCTGCTTCTTACATTCTTTATGTCTTGGTCCTGCAACTGTAGTTCTTTATAGCATAATGCAGTGGTTCTCAGATTGTGGTCCCCAGACCAGCAGCATCGGCATCACCTGGGAACTTGCATGAACTGGAAAGTGTGGGCTTGGGTCTCATCAATCTGGTTTAGGAAGTTGAACTCCAGATGACAATGATGCACACTAAAGTCTGGGATGCACAGATGTCCTATAGTAGAAAGTGGGTGGGGCTTTGGAATGAGGAACCCCTGGCCCAGAAACCCAGATCCTGGCCCTCTGTGATCTTAGGGCAACCCCTCAGTTTTCTCCTGGTCAGATGGAGCTGATGGGGGCAGCTAATTCACAGGCGTGCTGACAGAATTCAATGATACCCCATAGGTAAAGCACAGAGCAGAAAATCCAACATACTGTGAGCACTCAAAATCGGCGTGTAGTGTTATAGAGTCATGCAACGCATTTATTGGATGCCTTTGAGTAACAGTCTACATAGAGTCCATGCGTTTGATAATTAACAAGTTGAGAAAAAAGTTTACATATAACACTCTAGACATGAAACTGTTAAATACCTTCATTTTACAGATGAAAAATCCGATATTCAGAGAGGCTAAGTGACATGTTCAAAGGCACACAGCTGGTCCTACAATTGATGCCTTAGCAGCCTGAGCTCCAATTCTTGATAAAATGCCCAGTGGTCACCTTAAATTTCTTCAGAACAGAGTGGGATATAAATAAGAAAGCAAATATAAGCAAATAAATAACCAGAACACCCAATAATGGGTACGAATGCTCAAATAATGTGAGCATGATGCAGTTACTTGAGTCATTCTTCACTGGATTCCTGTGACATAAAAGGAAGTCCTGTGATTGGTGTCTGGAAGTCCTGTAAGTGCCTCCCAGCCCCTGGCTCTTCAGTCAACACATGTTTATTTGTCACTTTAATGGAGCAATAAAATATCTAGTCCTGGGTCTGGTGATTACACAAGTAGGGACTTCAAATGTGTCAGTATATTATCTGAATTACTTTAATATTTTTGTACACAATTCTGAGGAGTACAAACAGATACAAAACTTTTATGGTACCAAGTGAAGTAGTCCAGTACCATGTCTTTTAGGTTAACCGAAATCCCAGGTATAACATTAAAAATTATATTCAGATATCATGAAATATGTGGGGGTATTTCTTGCCCTTACAGTTAACAAGAAATGAAGAGTCATTTTGCTGTGCCCTTGCCTGGGAGAACTAAAAGGTTATTTCTTGCCTTCATATGCCACAAAAGTCTGTTTCACAGACTGGAAGGAATAAGCATCTTTACTTTAAACAACCTGCTTCCAGTTTTGTGTGGCTGTTGATATTATAGAACCAGTGGCAGAGGCCAAGGCAGGAAAATGGGCTGGGTTACTTATAACTCTTTGAATGTGGACACATCAGCTTGCGGGAAGGAAACTATTTAAAATGGGGCTTAGGGAAAGGGGGAAAAAAATCCCCTTTTCCCATATGAGATTCTTCCACGGTGTTGTCATGCAATCTTGAAAACCTCCATAGAACAGTAGATCACTCTCATTGGATATATGCAAATTTTCTGAGACCCAGTGGTTTCCTGCCAGGAAAAACTTATAATAACAGAGCAAGAATGCAATTTGAGCCCTTGCTTTCTGAAATCCCTGAAAGAACAGACTCATTCTTGACAGGGCAATTTCAGCCCTTGACATTCCAGGAAATAGCTCCATAATGTCATTTGGGCTGGGCTTGTAACCAGTCCTAAGATGTGGAGACACAAATGCAGCATGTAAGATTTCAAATATCAGTTCAGGGACCATTCTTGATTTTCACAGGGAGTTTAACAACAAAAACCACCAACAGAAGAAAACACAAGCAAGACATCCTAATTAAATTTAACATTGTCACTACTAATTAAACCCAATATAGGAAGAGGAAGGGTTTCTGCCAAGAAATTACAGACACATCCTGAAGCCTATTTCCTTTCCATTTCCTAGGTACTGGGTCCATGCCATAACCAGGATGTGACACCCAAACAAGACTGTATTTTGATCATTAATATATACGCATAAGTTAACCCCACCCTGGGGCCTCAAAGGCCTTTATGAGATGTGCTGGTCTTCGCATTTCGATGTGTTTCATTTTCTCTGGGTTCAGTACAGTTGAAAAAGGTTATGAGACTCAGGTTAAAAGTCAGGAAACGGATCAGGGCCCTATACTATGACATCATTTTCTTGCAATGCAATGAAGCAATGACATTTCCTGGAGGAAAAATTATTAGAGATGACAGGCAGCCTCAGTTATCTCCAATATTTGGAGTGGAAGGTGTCAAGCCTGCAAGCCTCCAGCTCCAGCCTCCTTCCCTGCTCTTCCTTGGCTGGGCCTTCTCAAAGGTGAAGCGAGAGAGAAAGAGAGAGCGAGAGACCAAGCCCACTTCCATTTTTTTTAATAGTCCTGGTATATTTTTAAATGAAGATATGCTAAAACTTAGTTATAAAAACTGTGTGATTTTTCATTATTAAAGCAATTAACACTCTACAACAAAAAATATGTGTAATATAAGCTTGCAATTTACAAAATAGTTTCCAGATTTATTTTTTAAAGTGACATCTAGGCAGAGCTACCTGGTATGACTGTGCAGGTCGACCAAGGGGAAGAGCGGGGATTAAAATCTGGTTCACAATTGCCAAACCTGGTGCAGGGCTGTATCTGCCTTTTTCTGATTCACACAAATGTTACACCACAAGTGATAGGTTGTCTTACAATAGGGCATAGGTTTAAGTGAACGATGAACCAGTTTCGTGCTTTCAATCTTAAGTATCTCTCTGACTGTAGGAATAACATATCTTGGGGGTATCTCCAGAAGTATAAATTTAGGGAGCTGCCTAATTGTGAGTCCTGGGACAAATGAGCCTCCTGGCAGGTCACCCCAGGCACATAGGGAATCTTTTCAGATTTACAAAAAGGTGGTGTTGATGAGACAACACAGGCTGTGTGAAACACGTGGTTTGGAGAACAGGAGCCCTGGGCTAGGTTTCAGCCTGGCCAGGTGCTTTTGTGCAAATTGTACAATTGTAGTGACACTACTGGCCTCCCATATGGTAGACCTTGACCTGGACTCCACATGCAGACGGACCTGCTCCAGCTCTTAAAAACCAGTTTAGAGACCTGAATCGAAGCCAGAAGAGTTTAAGGGCTTAAGTCAACACACTGAGACTCCACATCAAACCACTCTTGCTTCTCCATCTCTGCCTTTATGACTGGGTTTAGATAACTGGGCTTCTGCTACATACCTCTGTTCCAGTGTCTGGGTGCCCGATGAGTAATGCCCGAAACTGGGTGTCTAGTCCACTTACCATGCCCCTTCTGGGGACTGCAGGAATGTTCCATAAACAACAAACTGAGGGCTCCAGCCTTTGGACTCTTTTTTCTTCTACTTGTCCTCCCACTTGGATTCTCCTGGGAGTTAGCAGAATCCATCAAGCAATAACTGCAAACATGATAGAAGAGAACAACTCCTTAATACTTTTTTTCCATTTCAAAACAAACTACTAAGACACTTTTACTTCAGTGAACGAGAGCAAGCAGGGGTGAGAAGTTTCTATTGCAAAAAAAAAAAAATCAAAGTTATGACTTCAGAAATGTAAATTCCTAGTATCCTTGATAGATTTATATATCTAAGCAATGTTTCTAGATATTGTCCTAGGTTTGCCAAACAGATTTAAGCTCTCTATGGCAGTTGAGTGGCTAGGTGTCAGCCCTCACGAATCAAGAGTGCTTCTATAAATCATTTCACAGTAATTGGATGGGACTTGCAGTGACAAATATGCTCTTTCCTGGAGAAATTAGCGAATATCTGAAAGGCTTATATATTTCCCCAAGATTAGTCAAAACACAAGCCTAGTCGTCACACCTTTCCCTCATTATCCTGTGGTTGTTTTCTTAAATGTTGTGCGTCTTCATAAATGAGTCACTCTTTCCAAGATCTGTCAAAAGTATCAGTGGTTATAAGGCTGGGAAGCATACCAACCCTAGAAAGAAGTACAGAACTTTCAGTTATAGGCAAGAATGTAAAATGTCCAGAATTACTAGCGTTTTATTACTTTGCCAAATTTGCATTCTTACACCATTGAATCATTCCTTTTTAAGGATTCTTTTTCCTATAGTTAAACCTAGGAGGGAGAAAAAGGTATTTATTTTGCATGATATATTCGTATAGTTACAAAATCTGGAGCCTGTATTTTTTACCATTTGAATAATGCTTCTGCTTGCCCATACATGTTGAAAGTGTTGTTTAACTTAAATATACAGATCAGACTTAGTTTAAGAATCTACCCTTTCACCTTGCTCTAGGCAAGGAGAAAGATCAAAACTTCCTATATTTTTAAAGATGACCCGGTCTTTGTTTTGAACACTTCTCACATCTCCTGTTTGTAGAAGCTCCTGCAAAGACTGCATTGTTTTTCTATTCTATAAATCTATTTCTTAAAAATAAGACTTGCATTGCTCATTCGACATCCTAGAAGATATAATTTACCTATGAGGATAGAGTCTTTATGATGATTTTTTTAAATCATAGCATTAAAAAAATAGATATTTTCAATAGAAAAGGTTGTCAGAATTGGTAGGTGAAGAAAGGTATTCATAATTGATATGTTACAATGATAAAACTGATTTAGAAAAACGAAAAAATTTATGTTATCAATTCTGCCTTGAAATACTCAAGTGACCAAAATATTTTATATATTTTATTTTTACTTTAAAGTGACCCTAATTTATTAATTCATTCATTTTTTTCTTAGGTTGCAATAGAATATAAAATAATTCTAATTTCACTTAGTTCATTAATTTATTAAAAATTAAGAATATGCATGCCAGGTGCAGTGGCTCATGCCTGTAATCCCAGCACTTTGAGAGGCCGAAGTGGGTGGATTACCTGAAGTCATGAGTTCTAGACCAGCCTGGCCAACATGGTGAAGACCTATCTCTACTAAAAATATAAAAATTAGCCAAGCACAGTGGCAGGCGCCTGTATTCCCAGCTACTCGGGAGGCTGAGGCAGGAGAATCACTTGAAACTGGGAGGCAGAGGTTGTAGTGAGCCGAGATTGCACCACTGCACTCCAGCCTGGGCAACAAAAGCAAAACTCTGTCTCAAAAAAAAAAAAAAGAAAAAAAAAAAAAGAATATGCAGGATGCCAGCCAGGGGTCAAGATGCAATGAATTGGGAAATGAAATCTCCCAGTCCACAAAATAAAGATAATATTAAAGTAAACATAACAAAGACGTTTGAACAGGTTAAATACTTACCAGGATAAGGACTGAAAAGCAAATCATTTTACTTTTTTGGGTTTCCATTCTCTCACCCATAAAACAAAGGAGTCAATTAATTGAATGTAGAAAATTCTGGGACTAAAAGAAATATGTGTGAGTGTTTCAAGTGAATTTAATGTGTACGAGCTTTCACATGCTTTGTTTGGCAAATTTCATCAGGAAAATATGCTCAAAGTTGAATTATGATTTCAGATATGGAGATGGACAATATCATAGACATAGTGAAAAACAGGAGGAAAAATATGGAGCTTGGCCATAAACAGGAGAGAATGTCTAAATGGAATGGATGGCCTGGGCGGGAGGGAGCCACAGCAGAGAGCTGCAAAGCGAGATTGGGCTGAGTGCACGGCAAAGCTCAGATCAATCAATCAACAAGGATTTTATTCTACTCAGGTTACTTTATTTGTTAAGGGATTCTTAAGGGGGTGCCTGAGATAACAAAGCCAAGGATTATAAACTGTGCTAAGTATAATAGATTGCAAAAATATCCTAGCATCTAGCTTTGTAAGACTAGCAGAGGAAGGACATCTATAACTAGAGAGTGCTTAGGAAATATTTTAAGAATGTTCTGAGGTTCCACTTAAACAATGGGTCTTGGCTGAGGTTTAGAAACAGCAGTTGCAGGCAGCAGGGGAATGGTAACCAAAATGAAGTTATTCTCTTTGAACAACCAACACTTGGGAAGGGGACTAAACTGTTGCAAAGAAGCACTTTGGCTGTACACCAAGGAAGAATCTTCACATGTTCTCAAGATATAAACAACACTTTGGTATAGTAAGATTTCCCACAAGACTCATTTCTCTCAGAGATATAAAAGTGAGGAAAACATGTGATGCTCTGGAGTGCTATGTCTCTTATGCAATGAGATCTTGGTCAAGTCCAGTGCATTGCCCTTTCTGCTTTGCCTGCCAGGAAGCTGGCAACAGAATTTAGATTTAAATCTAGGACGTACACTAAAAGGTCTAACCTTGTCTTTTATGTTTAAATTACTGCTTTGTCTTTTGCTCTTATCTTGAAAATTTTGCTGTATTTGTATCTGTCATTATATGCCACCTCATTCATTCATCTAGTTCAAAGATATTTACTGAGGACTTACTTTGTATGAGACACATCAAGTTCTTTTAGAAGACAGACAGAATGTGGCTCTGGACTGGCAGGCAGGAGACCTGAGCTTTAATATCAACTCTGTTTCTGACTTGTGCTGTGTTTCGGTCTTAGGGCTTGATGTTTATACTCGGAATACAGTTCAGGCATTTTCCAGATGAACAAAGGCTCTGGGGCATATAGGTGGTTTTCCTAGTAACTCACCCCATCTTCCTCTCTTTTGAGAATGGATTTTTCCCCCAAGGGTCTTTGATCCTACAGCTGCAGACATTCTGGCACCAGGGAGCCTTAAAGGTCAAGGACTGAAGACACACAGAGGTCAATGAAATCAGGGGACATCTTAGTAACTGCTGAGAACCTGTGGGGGAGAGCACTACGGCTTCCAAGATGAATGAATGATGTCATTGGTGGTATAAATAAGCGTGCACTTGCTAAGCTCTGACAGGAATCCAACAGGTGTGTTCTGGAACAGTGCAAACAGAAGAGACCCTTCAAAGAAAAACAGCCAGAAAACTGCTTCCTTTCACCTGTGAGGTCTTCTTTTTGATTGCAGGCTCCCAAAGATTGAGCACCATGGGGTACAAAGGCAAGCGTGTGCACTTGAGCCTGTTTTCTCATCTGTGCAATAGGGGAGTTGGATCCACTACTGTAATCTTCTAGCCCCTCTGACTCTAATTGTCTATGATTTGATGACTATCAGTTTTCTTTTCAGCCTTCTGGCTCTACCACTCCACCCAGAGAGTTGCCCTTACCATCCTCTTCAAATACAATAAAAAACAATATGCAAATAAAGACAGTGAAAACACTTGTATAATGGCAATTCTAAAGGACAAGATTGAGTCCTACTTAAGTATTACTGAGTTATGTCAAAGACTTGCTGGATAGCTGGATGTGGTTATTACTTCCCAAAATATATCCCTTCCTTCAGAGCATATCCAAATCCATAACAAACTATGTTTACACAATTCTGCTATGTATGCATATATGAACCCATATTCCCATATTGCTTAGCACAGTGATATGTATCTAATAAATGTGAGAGTATCTGAGTAACTTTCGAATCTAAGAACCATCAAATATTTTTATTTTACCTCAGTAATTTATATGTAAAACAAATATCTGGGAGAATAAAGGCGCAAATACAGAGAAGGCACAATTCCTGCCCCAAAGAGTTTATTGATTTAGTGGAAGTGCATAAAAATGTAACCAGAATTGTGTAAAAAATACCTAGTAGGTTCAGTGGCATTTAAAATATGCACATATGAAATGCTACAAGCTTATTTACAGTGAATATTAATATTGGACACCACCCACGACATTAAGTGCTGAGTATACAAAAAGTAGCAAATGGCCCTGCACTTGATGGCCCTGTAATCTTCAAAATGATATACAGCTGTGCCTCAGTAAGGGGGCAGGATTGGGACCCCACATATACCAAAATCTGAAGATGCTCAGGTTCTTTATATAAAAGTAGTATTTGCGTATAACCTAGGTACATCCTCCTTTGTACTTTAAATCATCTCTAGGTTACTTACAATACTTAATGCAATGTAAATGCAATGTAAATAATTGTTATACTATATTATTTCTGTCATTTTTAATCGTTGTATTTTTTTATTTGCTTTAAAAAATATTTTGATCTGTCGTTGATTGAATCCATGAAAGCGGAACCCCTGGATAGGGAGGGCCAAGTATACATGATTCATTCATTCCTTCAATCTCCAAACAAGTATTGAGCGCTTACTGTGTGGAAAACACTGTGATAGGCACTTTGCAGGACCAAGGCCTACTTAATACACAGTTCCTGTCTTCAAGGATTTTAAATGCAGTAGGAGTGAAGAAACAGACAGCAAAGCAGAATTGAAAAGATGTATCAGTAAAGAGCTATAGAGAACACTCTGAGGTTAGAGTAATTATGCCCTGGGATCAGGAAAGCCTTCACAATGGAGTGGCACTTGATCAAGACCTGCAAAGATTATAGCATTTTAATGGTGGAGACAAAGAGGAAACACATCTCAGAAAGAGAGGTCAGTGAGAATAAAAGCGCAGAGGCATGAAAATTAATGCATGCCCTGGGAATAGCAAGCAGGCTGGTGTAGCTGGAGCGTGGAATCCAAAATGGATGGAGGAAATGAGGCCATGAAGTTAGGACGCAGCTGGCACATGAAGGGCTTCCAGTGCCTTACTAAACCTACTGATTTTATTCAGCTAGCAGTAGGGAGCTAGTAGAGGTCCAAGAAGGCCAGAACAAATCAGAGGCTACATATTCAGTATCAAATATCAATACCTTCTGAAATCAATGACTGCTAAAAAACAAGTCGAGTGGAAACAATGGGTTCTTCTAAATTAGGAGACCAAGATTTAGGGGCAATATTGATACTCTTCACCTACCCAGCTCCAATCCATTCTTTATATTTCAAAGTGGACATTCCTTCCACAGGGAAGCCTCCCCTTTACCTCAATTGAGCCAGATCTCTCTGCTGTGTACCCAGGGATCCCTGTACTTTTCCTTTGTGGCTTGTAGTAGATTTTATAATTGTATATTTGCCTGTGTTTGATTAATATATGTGTCCTGCATTGGACCATAAACTATGTGAGAGCAGAGATTATGTTTCTGCTTTGCCAGTCAATTTTTTGACAGGCTACCCGCTATGCCCGTATGAAGTAAAATATTTGATAAATGAATGAATGAACGAATGAAATATAGGAGAGGACACAGTGTGTTGGAGAATGATGATAAGAGATCATATCTGGAGCCTTATAAGTAGGTGTGGTGGTTTTAAAATGTGGATGTAAAATTCCTTGATGTTGTTCTCGTCGAAAGTTCGAATTGATATTCTTTGCCCTTAAATCTGAGCAAACTTGCAATGATCAGAGAGCAGCAAAAATGGTGTGTGACTTCTAAGGCTGCTATGTTGGAACCACGTGGTTCTTTTGGGGTGCTTGCTGTGGGAGAAGCCGGCTGCAATGTAACAGGTATGACCACCCTAAAACCTGCAAGTCAGAGAGACCATGATGCTAGAGAAGCCATGTACAGGCACTTCAGTTGACAGACTGAGCTCAGTTCTGCCAAGAAAGGTGAGTGAAGTTGTCTTGAACTCTTTGGACTATCTCATCTGCCAGCTGAGATGACCTCAACAATTGCCCCAAGAAGCAAAAAAATTGCCCAGCTGAGCCCTGCCTGAATATCAGACCCATAGAACTCATTTGTATGATAAAATGTTGTTTTATGCCAATAAATTTGGGATAATTTGTTACATAGCAATAGTAGCTAAAATATCAGCAAAAAGTCTCAATAGAATCCTCCCCAATAACCTGTAACAGATGAGGAAATTGAGATCCTGAGAGATTAGCTAATTTATCCAAGTTTCTAATTTGGTAGCAGTAAAGCAACCAGTCTTCTGACCCCCGGGCCATTGCCTTTTTCTCTCTAATGTATGATAATGCACTAAGAAATTTTCTATATAATTATATGCCAAGTCTAAAGACCATCTCTTTATCAAGCCACATTTGTATCCCCATTGATACTTTTATTCTCATTGATAATTAAATGGATCAGTCAAACTCCTTTACATATACACAAAAAGTGAACTGTGGCCTTAGATATGTGGAGTTTACAAACACTGTAGGTAATTTGGACATTTGAATGTAACTACCTCCCAATTAGAGGAAGAAACATCTTCAAGTATATAAAACACAGTAATATTTCTTCTTAAATTTGTGCCATTCTAATCCTTAACTTCCTAAGTTTTGAAGGCTGTCAGTTCCAAATTCACTGAAAGAACTTTTCTACTGAAAGAAAAATGCTGCCTCTATTAATATCAACCTTTTCCCCTTCAGAACACTTGCTTGCTAGTGATTTATTGTGGACAAGCTTCTTCCTGCTCCTTTTGAAAGTTAATTTTTTTTTAATCATGCAAGTAGAGGATGAATTCCTCATCTCTTGCCCCAGGACAATTTAGTTAAGCTAATCTTCAGGAGAGAGTTTGGGTATTTACAATTCACAAATTGATGCTGCTTGTAACACAAAAGAGAAAAGGGTCTTGCTGCTGTGTTTGATGTCAATTGGGAACTAATCCAAAAACAAATAAGGAAGACCAGCCCATGCAGCCTGTATGGGTAAAGATCCTTTTAGATCTTGGGACCTTGCAATTATATCATAAAGATGGAAATTTTTTCCTTTAAAAAGATCAAAGATATGATCCTTTTGTTTGTGGCAATGTCATTATTTTTTTAAAGGCTGAGGAAAACAACAACTAAATATCTCCATAACTGTATCCCAATGAAAACTGTGTACACTGATGATTCAAAAGTTAATGTTTAGCTTATTGCAACATTTTTCCTATTCACATAGTGAAACCATTAATAATTAAAGGAAAGACAAATGTTCAATTCTATTCTGAATTTCCTTCTCACCGTCGCGACTTCACAGATTTCAACAAATGTTAGTTCTTTAAAATCCCACCTGTGATATAGAAGGATGTGTACATGGCTTTAAGTGATGTTATGTATTAGGACTCTTAGTTGCAAATAACAGGATACTAAACTCCAACTAATTTTAATAGAGGGGGTTGATTGGGTCTCATAACGGAAAATTGCACACTCAGGTCTTGCTTCAAGCCCAGCTAGAGGCAGGGACGTATGCTTTTCTCTCCAGACTGTCTCACTGGGCTCTTTTCCTCTGTGTCGGCCCCTTTCTCAGGCTGATTCAATGAATGTAAGGTAAGAGGACCACTGGCAGGTCTCATCTTACATTTGGGCAGCTTCCAAACCCAGCCGCATTCTGGATCGGAAACAATTCTGGGGCTGATTCTGTTTCGTCCATCTTGAGCCTCACACCCACCCCTGTGGAATTCTCTTAGGTACTAATGATGTGTTTCAGAACCTACCAAGAATTGTAGTTAGATTCTAGCATAATTTATTTTAATGAAAACACTTGCTCTAAAGAAAGTGTGCAAGATGGCATGCCAAGTTACATAGCTCAACTTTCCAGAAACTCTGCCTTTCTCTTAAGCTATTTTCCCATACATAGCTTGCCTTTTCAATCCCAAATTTACCAAAAGTATAATCTATATTTACTTATTCCCCTCTCTTGCTGTAACCTTCCTGCCTTCTAATTTCACTTCTCTATAAAATGGTTTTCGCAAAGATCACTTGTCACCTCTCACAGGCATTCCACTGTCATCTTTTTGGTGTTCCTCCTATGTGTCCCCTTGGCAGAATTTGCCACTGTGAACCACTCCTTTTTTTTTTTTTTTTCTTGAATCTCTCCTCCTGAAGCTTGTGCTCTTTTCCTGTCTCAGACAGATTCTTCTTTGTTTTCTTTACTAGCTTTTATATGATCAGCATGGTCCCCAGATGTAAGTGTTCACCAAAGTTCCATCTTCAGCTTTTTTCTCTTTTTTTTTTTTTTTTTGAGACGGAGTTTTGTTCTTGTTGCCCAGGCTGGAGTGCAATGGTGCGATGTCGGCTCACTGCAACTTCTGCCTCTCAGGTTCAAGCGATTCTCCTACCTCAGCCTCTCGAGAGTTGAAATTACAGGCATGCACCACCATATCAGGCTAATTTTTTGTATTTTTAGTAGAGACAGGATTTCTCCATGTTGGTCAGGATGGTCTTGAACCCCCAACCTCAGGTAATCCACCCACCTCGGCCTCCCAAAGTGCTGGGATTACTGGCATGAGCCACCGCACCCGGCCAGCTTTTTTTCCTTCTAACTTTGTAGTCTCCCTCATTGGGCAACCTCATCCAATTCCATGGCTTCAAAAGTCACCTATTGGATGTTGATTTTAGCATCTATGAGTCCAGTTTTGTTTCTGTTCTTAGGTGTTACACAGCAGTTTTTGAGTGTCTATTCCTTGTACTTCCATCACCTTAAACTCAGCATTTTCAGAAGCAAACATTAATTTCCCCTGGGTGGCTCTTTGTGCCCTATGACATGCCACCATCATTCTTCCAGTCAACCAAGGAAGAAGAAGATGGAATAATTATCAGTTTATTCTCATCTCATATCCAATTGGACCTCCATAGGTGCAGCCTCCACTTTTTCATCCCCACCGCAACTGTCTAGTTTAGACCTTCATTCGCTCTCCTCTATTATAATAGAATTCCAATTTCTTATTTACTATATCTAAATCACCTTACTAAAAACACTTTTTAATATTCTAAAAATTATTTCTGCCATCACATGTTATAAATGCAAAATACTTAATGTTCAAGGCTTTCTAAGCTCATTTCCATGAGTCCATTTTAGGCACTCTGGTTGGGCCATACCAGGCACCCTTCACATCTTTACTCATGTTAATCCTTCCATTTCAACAGTGTTATTTTCTTCACCTGTCAATGCCCTACTCAACCTTTAACATCCACCTGGGGTAGACAACAGCGTTGTTCATCGTTTTTTCTGGTGCTCCTCCTTCTATTTTATATTTTAGTTTTATATTTTTGTGTTAGGATAATCTTTACACAATGGTGCTCCTCCTTCTAAACACATGGTGGATTGCACGCTTCTTCCCTTGTTGTATCCAGCAGAGTTATGTGGCTTGCTTTGGTGAACAAATATAAGTGCAATTGACACGCATCACTTCTGGGCAGAAGCTTTAAGATCTTGCATGAAACAGGCTATTTTTTCATTTTTCTCTGCTAGAAAGTCAGCAATACTCCAGAGAATAGTTTCTCTGACAATCTAGAGTAAAGAGGATATGGACCAGAGACCCTACCCAAACCATCATGGACATGTAGCATGAGCAAGAAATGAACATTGGTTGTGTTTGTGTAATAAAAAGTCTGTCTGGGCACAGTGGTTTATGCCTGTAATGACAACGTTTTGGGAGGTTGAGGTGAGCAGATTGCTTTAACCCAAGAGTCTGAGACCAGCCTGGGCAATATGGCAAAACTCTGTCTGTACAAAAAAATACAAAAATTAGCCATGCGTGGTGGCATGTGCCTGTGGTCCCAGGTATTTGGTAGGCTGAGGCAGGAGGATCACTTCAGCCCAGGAGGTTGAGGCTGTAGTGAACCATGATCATGTCACTGCACTCTGGCCTGGGAGACAGAGGGAGACCCTGTCTCAAAATAAAAAGAAATAAAATTAAAATTAAATAAATTAATAAAGATTAAAAAGTCTGACTCCATGTCTTGAAGTTGGACTGCGGATATTTTTAAAACCATGCCCTTCCTTCTTCCCTTCTGCCACACATCTGACCAAATTGATTAACAAATCTTGGCGCTCCCTTCTTTGATAACAGAGAGTGGTTGAAACCCTGCAAACACCTTTCTCCATGAAGGAACACTCACCCTGACCCCACCCCAACCACCTTAGGCCAATCTCACTTTCTTACTTTCTCCAAGCCATTTTCAGACCAGTGTGGGAGGCCTACCATATTCTCCCCAGAAAGTCTCACTATGCAATAAACCTTCTCATACCTTCTTGGAATGTGTGCGGTGTCATCATTCTTGATACTGGAATCAAAATGTGGGTGGAGGTCTGTCCTACTTCTGAGAAATAGCCCCAATAATTTGTAATTTGGAAATGTCTGTTACTTTCGGAGCTATAATGACTGGCGTACTGAAAAAGTTTGATATCTTAATCTGTGTATTTATTACATTGGTTTGTTCAATTTGTGAAAATTAATTGATCTTTACACCTAGGATTTATGCATTTTTATGCATAAAGAAGTGCCCCCCCCACCTCTGGTTTTGCTTTCCATGGTTTCAGTTACCCATAGTACAGTACAGTATGAAATTCTGAGGCACAGAACAAACAAGGGATCAGGTTCACATAACTTTTATTACAGTATATTGTTACAATTATTATATTTTATGATTAGTTATTGTTGTTAATCTCTTACTGTGCCTAATTTACAAATGAAACTTTATCATAGATATGTATGCATGAAAAAACATAGCCTATATAGAGTTTGGTACCATCTGCAGTTTCAGGCACCCACTGGGGTCTTGGAATATATCCCGTATGGATAAGGAGGGACTAATTTATGCATACTCACTAAAAAGATTAATTTTAAAACTTTATTGGTACTATTCTTACAT